>NC_000012.12:38672249-38823764 GCF_000001405.40 Homo sapiens
GGTCTTTGTGTTTCATTCCAATTAATGAAGAAAAGGACAGTCATTTAGGCAATACTGTATTAGCATGAAGTCCTATAAAATATCTCCCACTTTTCAGCATGTCTGGTTTAAAACACTGTAGACAGCAAGAAGTGGAGGCTGTGCTTTTGAGAGCAAGAAGAGAGATGGTGTGTAAGTGGTGGAGGGGTCAGGTCTACTCTTCAGGTGTGCAGACCATCTGGTCCTCAAGCAGGTGGAGATTATGAACCCCAGTCTCCCACCATTACCTCTTCCTGGAAAGGTGTATGAGACAGATTTGCATTTCTTTCTAGCCATGGGAGACACAATGAAGTTAGAAACCCTTTTATTTATCCCCTTCGTCTAACTCGAATCAAAGCAGATAGCCAGATGCTGCTTTAATTTGACTTTTTGGCTGCCTTTTAAGTATAAAGAAATCTTGCTTTGAGAAATCTTTCTTTATAATAAAGGTTCTTTTTTAGTACTGAAAAAGAGTCACTGGGGAAATTTATGTAGATAGTTTTAAAATGGTCTTATCAAAATACAGAGTTAAATTTAAATAATCTAATAGTCTATTCTTATTTCCTGTACCTTCAAAGGACAGATGGCAACATATTGTATTTCTTGCCCATGGAAACAATGTCTTTCAGGTTAAAAAATGTGTAGATGTTGGCTTTATGTGGTTAGCTGATGAAATCTGTGATATGGTTTGGCTCTGTGTCCCCACCCAAATCTCATCTAAAATTGTAATTCCCATGTGTTGAGGGAGGGACCTGTAATCCCCACATGTAGAGGGAGGGAAGTGACTGGATTATGGGGGTGGTTCCCCCATGCTGTTCTCGTGATAGTGAGTGAATTCTCACAAGATCTTATGGTTTTATAAATGGCCCTCTTTCCTGCCCTCTCACATGCTCTCTCTCTCTCCTGCCACCATGTAGGATATGACTGTTTCCCCTTCCACCATGATTCTAAGTTTTCTGAGGCCTTCCCAGCCATGTGGAACTGTGAGTCAATTAGACCTCTTTCCTTTATAAATTACCCAGTCTCATTTCTTTATAGCAGTGTGAAAACAGACTAATACAATTTGCCAGTTGGATTTAGGTCAGTCAGTTCATATGTGTGATATATACACTTACTCTAGAGTAGATTTGGAAGTGTCATGAGAGGCTCCTCTGATAGGAGAGCAACAATTTGACTAGTCAGAGATTTTTCTATATTAAACATGAGTTTAATATAGAAATTTTTTTTAAGCCATGAAGAGATGTGTTTTGAAAGGAAAAAAGGAAAAATATTTTAGAGAAGCACCTGTTGTCGCCTAGCAGAATAATCTACTTTTCTAGTACTGGGCCCAGAAGTTTTTCTATCCCATTAGAACTTCCATCATGGTGAAAACAGAAACCAGGTGTTACAGGAGCCTAATTCCCTGTTCCCATGTTTCCAGAGGAAAATTTCACTCTAACTTCTGGGAAGGCAACTTCCCTTTTCATCTACAATCTTCATTTACCTTTCTGCATGGAAAGAGGAATAGGATTACTAAGATTAGGAGAAATAACTGAGCTTGAATCACTCTCATTTGGAGCAGCACTATCCTGAGGATAAGTATAATTTCTCTCGGTGGCATGCTTAATAGGCAAAACTCCGCCTCTATAAGGAGAAGTCCTGGAGATAAGAATGAGATAATTTAATTTTGGAGGGAAAAAGTAATGGGAATGTGATTGTCCACAGGTTAACCCAAGTTCTCAAATTCTGCATTGCTAGTAATAAAGCTGATAGAGTGATCCGAATGATTCTTGCATATATTTTTTTCCAGTTAGTTCAGGACCTCACAGAGAGAAAATGATGAATTATCATACCTTAAAACCCTAACAAATTTGCTGGGAACTAAAGAAACGAAGAAAATAAATAGCTGTGGCTATTGGATAAGGGCAGTAGCAAAACGGCTGTGCCTGCTGCTCTGTATAGAAATGTGTTACCAGAAATATATGCCAGGAAGGGTCAGTGGCTTTGCATTTATGAATCAGGTGTGGGAGCTCTCAAAGAAAAAGAACTGATTGAGGTTTACCATCTCTGAGGTCATATGCCTAAAGGTGGACTTCCATAGGAGTCTGAGAGACCTGAGATATACCCATGAAAGATACATCCTTCAAAGTCAAAAGCAAATAGTAGCCAAAGAAGAAAGCATGAGTTATTTTAGCCTACCAATTGGTGAAGTTTGTGAATCACAGTCTATCACTAGTTAATGCAGATTATCAAGTGTGCAAAGCATGGAGAGGAAAGATGTCTTAGCCTTCCTGTCTCCAGAGAGGTATCTGAAATTCATGCCCGAAGTACAACTCAAGTAGATGCTAATAGAGATAGAGAAAATAACAGGAGAAGCAGTGTTGGTGAGGGATAAATGACTTGCTTTTGAAACTGTAAGATTATCATGCTAGAAAGGATGACCAGCCAAGATTAGAATTTAGGGATTCCAGGGTCAGCAATACAACTTGCCTGTGGTGCTTTACCTGAGACTGACAGCTCTTTATTATTCTCATGCAGGAGGGACTGGTGGTTAAATAAGAATCACCTCAGTGATAATTACAATCTAGTTAGCCACCTATGTGCTTAAGTTAACCAGTAACTTACAAAGATTGTGTCAAACATTCTAAAACCATTCTCATTTCCAAAGCCTCAAGCTAAATAAGCTGCCATTGTTAATATAAAACACCTGAACCAGGTGAATATTATGTGGCTGTGTACTTGCTGTCTAGCACAAAGTTCTCTTAAAGGAATTTATCAGATGACTACGAACATTTACCCAGATCACTCGTTACACAAACATTTGTCTCTTAATGGGCATTTGAACAAGCCTTGAGCCTGAATGAAAAACTACCCAGTATGCCAATTTAGCATAATTATATAAAGTCTCATTAAATTTCAGCTGGTCAGCTCCATTTTCATTTTACTTTTCTCTTTCATATGACACAACTTCTTTATTTATAAGGCTAATGTCTATCAACTAGCTAGAGCCCGAAAACCCATTAAATTAGCATATTATGCTTATGTTAACATTTCTTTTCACAACCTAATGATTTATTAATTTAGCACTCATCCTTAAAGGGTTTTAGTGAACACAGAGTGTGTTTTGCCTTGGGAACAAAAACTCAATTTATCACTCTGTCAGTCTTAGGAGATATTATTTTGAGGTACAAACTACCTCTAATGAAATAGAAAGCTACATGTTGAAATAATCTATAAACTAGAGAGATAATATCCTAGTGAAAAGACAGGATCTTTTAATTGGCACACCTGAATAGACATCATCATGAGCTATCTATGTATATGTCTAATTATGGACACATGAACATTATATACAAACCCAAATACACAGTCACATCCTTCTAAAGAGACAAGAATGGCAGAAACCCAAGAGCATGTTACATTAGATTAAATGAACTCCCAAGGAATATTATTGAAATTTTACTACTCACCATCAAATTCTGCTGGTCCAACACCTACTATAATTATTGACATTGGAAGTTTTGAGGCCTTCAAAGAGAATATACAATTAGGTTTCAATTAAGAAATTGAGTTCTTAAGAAAATAATTAAAGGCCAGGCATGATATCTCACTCTTGAAATCCCAGCACTGTGGGAGGCCAAAGAAGGAGGATTGCTTGAGGCCAGGAGTTTGAGAACAGCCTGGGCAACATAGTGAGACCCCATCTACACCAAAAAATAATTAGCCAGGTGTGGTGGTGTGTGCCTGAAGTCCTAGCTACTTGGGAGTCTGAGGTGGAGGGATCACCTGGGCCTAGGAATTTGAGGCTGCAGTGAGCTATGATCGTGCCACTGCACTCCAGCCTGGGCAACAGGGTGAGAGCCTGTCTAAAAAAAAAAAAAAATTAAAAAAGAAAAAATAATAATTAAGAAGCAAATATAACCAGAGTTTTATTTAATATTTTTTCACAGATGTTCATTAAAATAATTTGTGAGCATATTCAAAATTGTTAATACAGAATAATATACTTGATTCCATTCTTATCCTTTCCAAACTCTCTGCACACATTAATCCAGTGGGACATTCTTCGGAAATGACCAGCCCTGGGTAAGATCAAATAGAAGGTAAGGAGCATCTACTTCCACTTTCTACTCTCAGACAAAACCTTTCTAAGCTGACTTTGGGTATCTTTTTCCTCTTTTCATGTTCTTTCTCCTCCAAAAATATTTCAGTTGCTAAAGGGGGAAAGTGGTAACAGATTCATAAAATAGTAGTAGTACCATAATCTACCTCATTTATACCCAAGGTTAGAAAAAGCAATTTTCACAGTAAATGAGTGAATACAAATGATCATTACAGAAAGTTAGTACTGTTATGCACTAAATATCCTTGAGATTTTGAGGGAGACTAAATATTTCATGTTATAACATGTTTTTTCCATATAATATATCACATATCATCACTTAAATAATTTAATAGTAAGAATGTGAGATTGATCCAGCAATAGATAGATGGAACACTAGAGCAATCACATCTTTCGCTATGAAGATCACTGAAATATGACTGATTATTCCTCAGGGCATCATGTCTTCTTAGTTAAACCTAAATTACCAAGTCCATATTTTAAAGTGCATATTAATGCCACTCATTCCTGCAGCCTGTATTTATCAAATGTCTACTTCGTGCCAAACATTGCTAAACCTAGAGACTTTACAAATTACCATCTAGTAAACATAGATTTTATAGATTAGTAAACAATCAAATAACCCTAAAAAAAAAACATACAATTAGGAATTATAATGAGCAGGATGGTTTTTTAATCAATCAGTCACTATCCAGTTCTACAGAAATAGCAATTAGCTATCATAGTTCTCCTCTAACTGGAATGTAAATGTTAAGAAATAACCAGTATAAATCACAAGATTGTACACAAATACATCAAACTAATAGAGGTTAACAAACCCATGCCTGTGAAAATTATGCTATTATCTTTTTTTTTCTTTAGGCAAAAATTTTTTTTAACTAAAATAATTAATATCCCTTAGCTTGATCCCCCTGGATCAGTGGTACAGATGTATATGAGTTGTCTGGATAAGGTTAAGGATGCAATCTGCTGCAAAGGTGTGGTGATTTTATTTTATTGTTAACTAGAATAGACTCTAGTCTCTCTCTAAGTAGCACCATGTTGTCACGTAGCGAGCCCAATACGGAGTGACCCCCACTTACATTAACTATGGACTCCTTAGTCTGGGCCATATCTGAGATAACACCATCTGTAACAATCAGAAGCACAAAATACTGGGAGCCATCCTTTACAGAAGAAGCATATCTGAAAGGCAACGAAAAGGTAAGGAAAGTAAAACAGTTTTCTATATGTGATGGTTGGTAAATACAATTTGGAATAGTTAACAAACATTTTAATCTCAATAAAATATTTGAACATGTTAGAGGTATATCTTATGCAAACTTTCAAATACACAATTATCTGAAATAACACACTAGAACAATTGCAATGTTAGTGCATGCTGGCACACAGAAATATCTAGTTGCCTAAAAGTTCATTTACTAATACAAAGTGTGCTAGATGAGTGACTATTTAGTACAAAGAAATGGACATAGCTTTTGGAAATGGACTTATCCTGACTAAGCAACACATTATGTAAGTGATCTTCAGTAAATTACCTAAGCTATGTGAAAGTTATTTTCTTAGCTTTAAAACTGAGACAATAACACTTACATCTTTATACTGCTGCATGAATTAATGAAGAATTGCATGTATGGTACTCAATATAAGCATTGTATAAATGATAGCAATAATCATAAGTGCTTTTGGTTTTTGAACTACATAGAGGTAATGGTTGCAACATTACAAATTTACTAAATGTCATTGAATGGTATACGTTTAAATGGTGAATTTTATTATGAAAATTTCACCTCAATAAAATTACACAATAGAAGAAATATTTTTGACACATCCACAGTCAAGTCTTAATATATGTTAAATCTATGAAAGATGAGACGGAGAGTTATTTCAAAGCACAAAATTATGTATATGATAACATATCAAATAATACTCAGTAATTTAGAGGGGAATTTTATGAATATGTTACATTTCATTACATTTCTCTTTTCCTTTAGTTTTCTACATTCTAGATATCTAGATTATATTCTCAATAGAGATAATTTTTACGATTTTTTGCAATTCATGTCCAGTGCTAAGTAAGCATTCTGGTTCTCTTAGGAGATAGGATAGTAAAGAAGATCTTGATCTGTATTTCTAAAAGTTATCAAGTAAAAATTCCCTTACAACCTGAAGGATTAATGAAAATTCCTTTACAATCTTAAGGAGCCCAATGAATCCCATTTGAACAAGTTGGTGACAAACAAATAGTATAAAACGTATGTCAGGGCACAACTTATTTCTTGAGTAGCAGAATTTAAAAACATATAAAGAAGAAAAATACTTACAACTTTCCCCATGGACTATAGATAATAAGATTTGTCCATGCTACTAATAAAATACTGGTAATTTTAAAGATTGTTAAAGTAAATATAGTAAGTGGCATGCTCAATCACACCCTGTAAGCAGGATGTTGAACAGGTTCCACAATGTACTATAGAATTAAAAATATCCCCATAATACTGAACAATTGATTCTGGACATTAAAGAATATGTATTAATTTAGTAGTAACACAACCAGTGGAAAACAATCCAAAGCGGTTATAAACCTATTCTCCTATTCCACGTTTAACTTTTTTTGTTTTAAAGAAAAGAAGTCTAACAATTTCCCCCAGGATCTCAATTTTTAATTTTTAAATATCCATTATTTTTTAAGAAAGCATTTCTTACTATGATTCAGAAAGATAGGGTTTTATATTTCATGAGAATAATGAAAGACTCTAAATAGTAGTGAAAACCTTCTTAAGTACAACAGTATAGCTTTTATGCTTTTCTTACCAAATGGTACTCTCAAAATGTAAAATATCTACCAGATTAAAAAACAATACAGACAGCTGACTACTATGCAGTCATATAAAATACTGCTTCCAGTGGCTTAACTGATTTTCTTTGGATATACCAGAATGTATACCTAAGAAAAGGAGAAGAATATATTCACACTATAAGAGAGTTATAGATACAGCCTAAAGCAGATCATAGTAAACTTGGAATTTCGCTGAAGTTTGTTTTATCTTAAAAATTCATAGAAATTTTATACTTTATGATAAATACATGCTTGTATTAATATTTTATATCTCTTCACTTTGAAAACCATTAAAGCTGTAGAAAGTTGCATGAGTTTATTGTGTGACTGTCACTACTGCTAGGCATATGTAATTTGAAAATCAATTACATTTTACTTTTAAGTTCTGTCCAATCCATTTTAGTCTTTATCACCTTCGGCACCACAAATTAATCTTTTAAAACCAGTTGTTGCTTCTTTGGCACTTGTTCTACACGTTGGCACATTGTTGCACTTTGAAAGTAAATCTAAATTTCAAACAAAATCAATGTTGTATTACCATTTATTCTACTTAGCCTTTTATTTTAAAGTATTATCATTTCTTCTCATTTAGTTATTTTAAAAATATTATATATTTAAGATAAAATAATTAACATGCTACAGAAATGGATGAAGTAAAAATTATAAGCTGGCCACACCTCAATACTTTTTCTAGGAGGTGACACTGATATATAGACTCACAGATTCAAATTATATTTTAAAGGTATTAGAGAAGCTTGCTTCTTAAAAGAACTTGATGGGGAATCCTTTTATAAATTGCATAATTAAGTCTTATTACTAAAAGCCAGCTGTCTTTTTTGAAATATAGCCTATCTATAATTTATATCTTAATATTACTATGATATATCTGAAAGAGAGGTTAACTTTGTCAGGGCAGTACAATTCAAACACATTTCTTTTGCATTTCTTTGAAATAAGTTTCTGGGATTATTTCTATAAAAGTTCATATCTGGTTGGCTCAGATTCGTGGAATATTCTTTCAGCTTATTATTAGTTCACAAGAATAGAGAGGGCAAGAATATAAGATAAGAAACTGACTTAGGGATGTTTTATTTAAGTAGTTCAATTATGATTTGCAAAATGGATTAAAACTTCTTAACAATGAATAAAGGAATACATTAAAATATTTCAACACAAAGTAGCAGAGCAAATTTTATGTTACTAAGTGTCACCCCAAACTACTTTTGACTGGGCAATGAAGTGATCACTGTATCCACATAGATAGGTAGCTTTGTTGCATTTTCTTTTGTGTGACTTTACCTCTGTAGCAGAGATAAAAAGGCTTAAAGATGTAAGGCATCAAAATATAGTGATTTGGAGTCAGATTATTCCAGTTTGAATTTTAGCTCTACCACAAATGATCACTCTATGTATCTATTTTATCATCAGCAAAATGGAAATGACACTACTGTCACCTCTTAGAGTTGTTGTGAAGATGAATAGATAATCCATATTATAGCACTGAACATGTTGTTAGAGATAGATCATGGGCTCCATAAGAACAGTTTTTATTTTATTATTGATTGTAAGATTGAATAAATAAAGCATAATACATTATTTAATTTGAAAATTAGTTATAAGAATTCCAAAATAAAAAGTTATTTCCTAAAAAATGAAAATTCATTTTGGATAGTTATCTGGATTTTAGAAGGTTCTCAATATCAGAAAAAAACAGAAAAAAATTACAAATAGCCAAAAGATAGAAACTGATAGATCCCCCTTAAAATTGAAATGTGACAGCCTCAAAACAAGTAACTCATTAGGCACAGGAAACAAAAGACTAATAGGAAATAATGAATATATTTAAATCGAGTGAAGAAATTTTCATAATAGTCTGAAAAGATACTTGAAATTTTCATTAGTATATTAGTTTATTTTTGAAATATTAAGCTGGTATAATATACCAACAAATTAAATTTATTTCAAATTACTTAAAATTATTGATGAAGAATTCTAGATGAATAGAAATTTTTTTTAAATGATAAGAACAGGAATGTAAAGATGGTTTACACCATATACAAGAGGAAACAGATTAATCAGGGGATGCTTAAAACTCCATTTTATTCAAACTGCATTCCACAAAAACCATTATTTTAAAAATATTTTTCTTTCTATTGTGATTAATAAGATTTAAACATAGTATTTTAGACATTCAACATAGTATTAAGTTCATATCTGCAAGAACCTAAAATTATTTCTCAGAATTTAAATTTGTTGTCAATTTACAACATAATGGCAATATATTTCTTTGTTTTAGTAGGTAGGATGATGATGCTTATGTGTCAACTAGACTATAAATCCCACTTATTTAATCAAAGATTATAGATATGGTTAACACCTACCATCAAATGACTTTAAGTAAAGGAGCTTCATCCAATTAGTTGAAGGCTTTAAGAGCAAAAACTGGTTTCCCAGAAAAAAAGGAATACTCACGTAAGGCTGCAGTATGAAATCCTACCTGAGTTTCCAATCTACCAACCTGTCCTACAAATTACATTCTTGCTATCCCTTACAATTACATGAGCCAATTCCTTAAAATATATCTCTATATTTTATCTATGTCCATGTCTATATGTCTCCTGTTGGTTCTGTTCTCTGGAGAACCCTGACTGATACAGTAGGTGTTAATCACAATCACATTTCCATAGGTCATTAAGATTGGCTAAGCATTATCATTTAAAAGAGTATTTAGGCTGGGCCCAGTGGCTCATGCCAGTAATCCCAGCACTTTGGGAGGCTGAGGCGGGTGGATCACTTAAGCCAGGAGTTGGAGACCAGCCTGGCCAACAAGGCGAAACCCCGTCTCTTCTAAAGATACAAAAATTAGCCAGGTGTGGTGGCACATACCAGTATTCCCAGCTACTCGGGAGGCTGAGGCACAAGAATTGCTTGAACCTGGGAGGTGGAGTTTGCAATGAGCTGACATCGCATCACTACACTCCAGCCTGAGTGACAGAGAGAGATTCTGTCTCAAAACCAAAAAGGTTCTTTAGTTTCCTATTATAACTTTGTTAATTAAAATGAACTCAGCCAGGCGTGGTGGCTTACGCCTATAATCCCAGCACTTTGGGAGGCCAAGGCGGGCGGATCGCCTGAGGTCAAGAGTTTGTGACCAGACTGGCCAACATGGCAAAATCCTGTCTCTACTAAATATACAAAAATTAGCCAGGCATGGTGGCGGGTACCTATAATCCCAGCTACTTGGGAGGCTGAGGCAGGAGAATTGCTTGAACCTGGGAAGCAGAGGTTGCAGTGAGCCGAGATCATCCCACTGCACTCCAGCCTGGGCGACAGAGCAAACAAACAAAACCTCATGTGGTATTCAGATAATTTAATTAAACAAATGGGTACAGATATCTCAGTATATCCAAAGTACTGTGGCTTTTATTTTTATATGTATATATGTGCATGTATATGAATGTCACAATGAATAATTCCTCCCTTCAATGTGGAAAAGATCTACATGTAACCACAGAGTAGTATCAAATTAGTAATAGACACATGCATGGAATGATATCATAGACCAGAAGAAGCAGAGATTCTCTGTGACTGAAGTGCAGTACATTTGAGAGAATGTGGAAATGAGGTTGGATGGGTGAGTGCTGGTTGAATACTGGATGTTCTTGAATGCCAAGCTAAACCGTCTGCACTTAAATTTATGACAAGGCATCAACAGATGTTGAGTAGGATTTTACATCATTTGAAATGCTGTTCCCCAGAGAGCACTGGAAAAGGAGGACTGGAAAGGCAAGAAATCAGAAGCAGGGGCTGGAAAGCCTCAAAAAAAAGCATATAAAACCTTCAAATTTTATAAATTTGATGCTTTGAGTCTTGTCTATTTTACAATATTGTTACCTCATTAATATTACCTAAAAAGTCAAACAGATCAGAGATACATAGATATGAATCCTAAAAATAAACGTGCTTAAAATTGTTATTCTTAAAAAGAGTAAGCATTCTTTAAAATGCTTCTAGAAAATGACAATAAATACTGAGCTTTTACCCACATAGAAAATATACTTAAGGAAAATAATATCAAGCCAATATAAAAAGTATGAATATATATTTGTTTTGACATTGCTAAAAATAATTTTTAATGATAATATATTAACATATACAGAATTTGTGTTTTAGACATTTGTTGAATACTTACCTCCTACATAATAGGTATGATGCTAAGTACTGTTGATAAGCTTTTAAGAGTTATATAAAGCAAGAATTTTACATAAATGGAGGTCACACACACTATAACTATGGCGCTTCTCTTAATAGAGAAAAAAATAGTACCTCGTCTGCTTAGTTGTTAAACTTTTTGAATGATAATTTTGGGTCAGACAGAAATTGTCTGTCTCAATACAAGCTTAAAAATACAATTAAACATAAAATTCAAAGATGAAAGGATAAAAGCATTTCTTTTGTGGTCTTATACTAAGAAATGTATACATGGAACTTCCTATATTGTATTGGAAGGAAAAGATGACTCTTAAATAGCCATCTCTTACTGTTTTTCTTAATTTTCTCATGTAAAAAATAATAAAGAATTATTAGATCATAGTTTATTTTCAAGGAGTCTGAAAGCTTTCACTAGCAGGTGCTCCTATATTCAAGAACTTACAAAATGATAGATAAAACAAAAAATCGCAATAGAACACTGTGGAGCCTTTGATTTTAAATGTATATAGAAATGCACCTAGATATTTTATATCTATCACTTTAACTTTTACTATAAATATATACCAGAAAAAATTATGAAATTACTTGGTAAGCATTGATGAACACATTTCTAATAACCAGCATGAGTTCATACAAAAGAATTCTTGTCATTTTTCTCTTATCTTTTTATAAAAAAGTGATCTGCAGGGTAGTGTGGCCATCAATTATAATTTATCTTGCATTAGCATGGTATTATATTCTGCTTTATTTGACTGCCATCAATATATAGTATATATGACATTACTTACATCGGCTAGTATAATAAGCTAGGATATGTTTTTCAGATTGCAAGTAATGACCCATTAATGGATTGTGAGATCAATTTTGGGGGCCAAGATTGTATTTAAGAAAAGAGAAATAGAGAAGAACAGGTGCCATAGAAATAAAGATAAAACAGGTAAGACTAAGTACCATTTCATGAGTAACTTTTTTGGGGGGTTGTGTATGTACAGGGTTAATATATATTAATAAAATTCATATTTTAGTAGAGATTGCAGATGATTTTGTCCGAAAAATTCAAGCCGAAGGGTCACACTCAGAGAAAAGTCATCAATGTATCACTGTCAACCTGAGTTGGAGTTCCACAGGGAAGTTGCACTGGGGTCAGCCCTGGGTGCAAGGGATATTTTAGCATTTTGTCCGTGTCCCAGATAATGAAAAGTAGAGCACACTGAAGTTGCCGGTAATATTCATTAGGGAAGATGGTAAAGTACTAGAACCTTCAGAGAACTGGGGTTTCACATTGCCTTTGTACTTGATAAACTGACCAAAATACATAATTTTTTTCAAGTTCTGGCTACATATTTGAAAGGATATGCAATTTCTAATTATCTCAAAATAATTCAGGGTGTCATAGGATTTACATAGGCCAAACTTTCTAGGGATTTAAAAAGTGTTGTCTAATTCATTTATGTACTAACGAAAAAATGATAAGTATGTATAGATTTATTTTTAACATTTTAACATTTTCTTCAGAACATGTACTTGGAGTAATAAGCAATTATATTCTGATCTCAGTACTATGTACCATATACAGGTAGAGCTCTGGGAATTTATAAATTAGCTACTATATTCATTTCAGAGAGATTAAAATAATGTGCCCTATATGTCGTTGACAGCTTCAAGTAGTCATCTAATAGAATTCAGTCTCTTACTACTTCTATGCTACTTATTACTATTATGGAATGTGATATTAGATAAGAATGATTTACACAGTTGGCATCACCATTGATCTTGTTATTTTCCTCATGGATGCCTTTTCCTAAGAAAATGTTTTCCTTAGTTGAACAAAGATAGTTCCTAACATAACCCAGCAAATGTTTCTTCACTTGATATTTTAATGTACAGTTCTCAGCAAAGTATCATGATCGTTTGATAGAGACTCTTTCTAACATACATTTTTTCCCCACTTTCTTGGAGGTAAACTAGAAGAAAACAACTTTCATGTGTGGAGTCATGCTAGCAACAATGTTATGAGTTCACCATGTTCCAGTACATCAGAATAAGCACCTTGTCTACTCTCTACTTACCTTGCTACATGATTAATTACAGGAGCAAAGTTGGTGGGCCCATATAGTTGTACAGATTTCAGACTCCTGTAATAAGCCTCCATGACCCCCTCAATGCCATCACAGTAGGGGTTTTGAGGATTCCCATTCTGTAGAAATTTATAGGCAAAACAAAACAAAACAACAGTAAAAAAGTAAATCTCCATGAAGATCAATTGAAAGAGATGAGAATAATACACGTTGACACTCATATTTTTTGAGGAACTCTTATTCATAAATTTACAATAGCAAAAAAATAATACATTAAGTAAGTGATCAACAATCGATTATGATATATTATGTAGATAATAACATGATATAATGTACAATCATTAAAAATCTATACTCTTAAAAAATGGCAGAAGAAAATTTTAAATAAGAAGTTGAACACCACAACAGCCTAAAATTAATAGTATCTTAATTTACACAGGTTTGGGTACATGTGGAGATAAACATATAGAAATCCTAAAAAGAAGAAAACCAACGTATTAATAGTGGCTACCTCTGGGTGGTTAGATAACTGATAACTTTACTTTCATCCTTTAACCTATTCTCTATTTTTCCAATTTTTCTGCAGTGAACATGTATTAAAATTAGAAGAAATAAATGCTATCAATTCAAACAATTTTACCTGACAGCAGAAAAAATGTAAAATATCTGCCACATGAACATTTTCAGGCCACAATTGATAACTCCAAGTAGAGAAGGAGTCAGAGGGAATATAATTTGGTGTGGGGAATATCAAGACAAGGCAAAAGGAAAGGAATAAAAAAAAAATCCAGGTCATTAAAGGGAAATGGAGCTTGTTGTTAAGAAGCTCTTATTCTGGGAACAGCGCCCAGAAAGGCAACTTTAACCCAAGCTCTTATTCTGGGGACAGGACCTGAGGCAACTTTAACCTGAACACCTAGGCTGGCTTTTTCACACCTTAAATGCCCTGTCATTATTAGGTTTAATTCTCCTAGTCCAAATTACACAAATAACACAAGACCATGTATTAGTTATCTATTGCTATGTAACAAATTACCCCCAAAGTTATACCCTCTGTATAGTGGCTTAAAGCAATGAACATTTATTATCTCACACATTTTTGAAGTCTCAGGAATCCAGAAGCAGCTCAGCACGGTGGTTCCTGAGCAGGATCTCTCATGAGGTTGCATTGAAGATGCCGACCTGGGCTGCAGTCATCTGAAAGCTTGACAGTGGACAGAAGGATCTATTTCCAAAAAGGCTCACTTACATGGCTGTTGGCAGGAGGCCAAATGGACTCTCCACAGGGCTGCTTGAGTGTTCTCATAACATGGCAGCTAACTTTCCCCAGATTGAGTGATCCCAGAGAAAGGGCAAGGACAAAGCCCCAATGCCTTTTATGAGCCAGTCTCAGAAGTTACACATCATTACTCCTACTTTAATCCATTTTCTAGAAATGAGTTACTAAGTCTAGTTCACACTTGAGAAAAAGAAGATAGCCTCCACTTCAGGAAGGGGAATATCTAAAATCATGTGTATATTTTTTTATGCACTAGTGATACTAACTACATTTAAACAGAGTTAGGAATAATTTTAGCATACATGTTTTTACTTGAACAATCACAAGTAACCAGTAATCTATAACTAAAATTTATTGAATTCTATATACCAAGTTTTATACTAAAATATTTACATATATAACTTCCATAACTTTAAAAATGTAGGACTGCCATTAACCCCACTTTATAAAGAAACCAAGGCAATGAGAACTTTGATACTGTGTCTAAGGTCACACAACACGAAGAGGAGAGCTAAGATTTAAACGAGGCAGTCTAACTCCAGAGCTCAATTTCTTAAACACCATTATGCTACCAAATTACGAAATGCCAAGACTTTCTTTTTTTTTTTTTTTTTTTTTTTGTGAGACGGACTCTTGCTCTGTTGCCCAGGCTGGAGTGTAATGGCCGGATCTCGGTTCACTGCAACCTCTGCCTTCTGGATTCAAGTGCTTTGCCTGTCTCAGCCTCCCAAGTAGCTGGCACTACAGGCATGCACCACCAGACCCAGCTAATTTTTGTATTTTTAGTAAAGGCAGGGTTTTGCCATGTTGACCAGGCTGGTCTCGAACTCCTGACCTCAGGTGATCCACCCGCCTCAGCCTCCCAAAGTGCTGGGATTACAGGCGTGAGCCACCGCACCCGGCCAAAATGCAAAGCTTTCTACAAGGCTGGGGAGCTTAGGAAACGGGGCCAAATGTTACCAACTACTTCAATTTTATCATTCGTGACAGAGGGATTTATATCCACTTTTTTTCTTTTAATTTTGTCTTTTCTTCAAACATTTTTATTAACCCTCATACATTTTTGAAAGTATAAAAATAAAAGCCTGCTTTACATTATAAAACTGGTTGCATGACTTGGCTGAAAACAGAATGTAAAAGATAAGTTTAATATTTAGCACAAAGCAGTTAGTGTTTTGATGTTAATCTGAGCCGACCTATTTAACATTCCTTTAAGGTTTTATGGTGCTCTTTTCCCTTGATAAGGTATGAAGCTAATTAAAATTAAAACTCATTACTGATTTTGGGCATATAAAAATGTATTATATATCTACCTTAAGGGAACAGTTACAAACTAGGGTAGTCCTGAGCTACTTTTATTTTTTAACATGTTGATTGGAGGTTTACGTTTTGATGAAACTGTATGTTATCACTATTTCTCTGGAATTGAAACTACAAGGTCACCATTTTTCTCTTCTTTGAGAATGGAAAGGTAATCATTAGATGTTCTATTCATCAACATGGAATGTTTAATGATTTATGAATTAGTCCTACCATAATAAGTTGCTCTAAGGTTTCCTCATATGTCTTAGACGATAAGAATACCTTATATAAAATTATGCCTTCTTTTTAGTATATGCTCTGGATTATATCAGGATTATTTAAAATATTTTATAGCTACTAAAATGAGATTTTCTTCTTAATAAGAAAGTTGTAATGAGTTATAAAAAGATTTTTAAGTCTGTTACTTGCACACACCTTTATAGTGGCACAATTTGCAATTGCAAAAATATGGAACCAGTCTAAATGCCCATCAACCAATAAGTGGATAAAGAAAATGTGGTGTGTGTGTGTGTGTGTGTGTGTATACTACAATTCTACTCAACCATAAAAAGGAATGGAATAATGGCATTCACGGCAACCTAGATGGAGTTGGAGACCATTATTCTAAGTGAAGTAACTCAGGAATAGAAAACCAAATATTGTCTGTTCTCACTTATAAGTGGGAGCTAAGCTATGAAGATGCAAAGGCATAAGAATGATATAATGGACTTGGAGACTGGCGGGGAAAGGTGGGAGGAAGGTGAAGGATAACTCAGTGACCACTGCTCAGGTGATGGGTGCATCAGAATCTCAGAAATCACCACTAAAGAACTTATCCATGTAATCAAAAAACACCTGTTCCCCCAAAACTAGTGAAATAAGTAAAAACATTTTAAATGTGTTTAAAAACTCATTTCTTGAAATAATTATGCAGGGAATCAGTTATTGCTTGTTAAAACAAATTAGAATAAGTCCAGTTGTGGTTCTGACACAAAAGTAAAACACAGGATTTTTTAAAAAATAAGCACATTTAATTTTGTTGTTTATTAATGAAGAGGGCAATGGATGCCTTATTTCATATTTCCCTCCTAATTAACAACCTTTCCATTTATAAAATAACACATGTTAACTTGTAGAACACATAGAAAAGCATAAAGATCTGACTTTAAAATGATTAATAATCTCACCACTCAGACTTAAGTGGGGAGGAGTGCCCAGCTCTTACCCATTTTTCCTCCCGTTTAGCTCCCTCAGGGATTGTGCTGAGGGTGTGGATTCATCTCCATGCAAGAAGTCTGTCATCTCTGTTGCTGCCTGCAGCCTGTGACAGTTTTCAGCAGGGCTAACAAGCTGACAAAATACTGAAAAGAAGCTCTTAGGGGCTGTTGCTCTACTCTGAAATGTGACTGTTGCTTACTGTGGGAAAAAGCTGAGAGAATTCTTCCTTTTATTCAATGAACAAACACCTATTGAGCTTCTGTTTTATATACAGTACAGTGTTAAAGACTCTTAGTTATTAAATTACTGGTGCCTACTTGGCAAAAAAATACATACACATAAATATTAAATTGCATACATTTGTATAAATGCCAAAATAAGTGAAAAGCATGCAAGTGCATTTAGGTATTTCCCAGGAGAAATCACTTGGACAGGTGTAGCGTTTCTCTATTGGTCCGCATGGAAGACCTTCTTTTAAGGACCACTGGCCACAAGCTCATTAGAAATACCTCTACCAGAGCTCCGCACTATTGCGTTTTCAGTTATAAATCCAAAAGGAGTCATCAAGAATGATAATGAGAGGAGAGCAATGACTCATTCTTTTCATAACCATAAGTCTTGAAATGGTAATATTAGGAAATTCTTCCTTTCCTCTCCCATTCCTTTTCCTTTTCTCATAGTGTGTCTCACATAAAAAGCTGGGATTTACTGAGACCTTTTCAAACGAGCAAAGCTTAAGTTCAACATCTGTACTGGCCAAAACTTATACACTGGGGGTAATTTAAGTTGTTAAGAAGACTCCCTTGCTATCCAAAAGAATTATGTGAATGTGGTGAGATAAATAGGTTAATGTTAGAGAACATATATCACAAATTCATACCATGGAAATACGAGGGTTTATTAACATCAGGTAGTTCATGAAAGACAAGACTGTCATGAAACTGAACTTTTTGTATTTGTCATTTTCAGTACCTACAGATAGATATTGCAGTGACTTAGGATGAGCTTAACACAGAATACTTCAGCAAGAATGAAATCAAATACTATCTCACTAAAGACCTACTTAACCCATATCTGCCTTATTTATCCAACAAAACAGAAGTGCTTTGAAAAAAATTAAAGTAATATAATCATTCGGTAATATTAAAGTTGAGGCATTATCATCAACATAATCATTGTTGTTTTCATCGTCAATTTGAGAGGCTATTCTTCATAGATTTAAAGGGGTATGATCTCTATTCCATAAATGTTCGAATTGGGCTCAAAGAACAGACTATGGTGTAAATAACCAAAAATATATATCATTCCTTAGCAGTAGATACTTGTATAGCTTTGGTTACAAGGGGTAAATGTGGAGGTAGGAAAAGCAGAAAAGGAGAAAAGTGGAGGGGAGGAAAAAGGAAAAAAATACACACTAGTGGAGGAAGAAATGTATGGAGAGAAAATTAATAAACCTCTCATTTAGCTTAACACAATTATTCCTTTTCTTAGGCTTTAAAATAGCTCATGACCTTTTTCCTGAGGCACTTCAGACTTAGAATCACATGAGTGATTTTCATGGTTTTATAAGTTTCTGGGAGATTTTAATTTTCTAAGACACAACAAAATCCCAACAGATACTCATTTTTATGACACTGGGAGTGTGGCATGTGGGCTATTTCATGGAAGAAAGAATTAAGCCCTCCAGCAACCTCTCTAGAAATTGTGTGGGTGATGGAATAGAAAAGTAAGAATAAATACAAAAATAAAAATGTAATACTCCTCTTAAAACATTTGAGAAAGATGAAATTTTATATAAAAACTTATATAAAGGTACATATATCATGGTGTTAATATAAGCATGCATCCAAGAGGTGAGATTACAGGTGCTTTTATAAGATGGGGTTTAGCTGTAGTTAAGAGCATGAATTCTAAAATAAGACTGACCTGGGTTCAAGTCCTGTCCTTTGGGACAATGGTTAACTTCTGAGCCTCTGAGTTGAGTTATACAACTCCTGGGTGCACTTTTCTCACCGTTGGTAATGAGATTGGCAGTTTCTAGAGCAGTGCAATGTGTCAGCATGAAATATTTACCACACAGGAATTTTATGAAGATTATATGAGATAATGAGTATAAAGTATGTGACTCGATACTCAGTAAATACTCAGCATTGAGTCAAATACTATTTCACTGAAAACCTACTTAACCTTTGTCTGTCTTATCCAAAAGAAAAACAAAAGTGCTTTGAAAATTTTAAAGTAATATAATCATTAGAGATTACTGAAGTTGAAACATTATCATTAACATAATCATTCTTATTTTCATCATCAATGTGGGAGACTATTTTTCATAGATTTAAAGAGGTCTGATCTCTCTGTCTTATTCTGTTTGTGCTATAAGAGAATACCTGAGATTGGGTAATTTATACACAATAGAAAAGTACTTCTCACAGTTTTGGAGGCTGGAAAGTCCAAGATCAAGAAGTCAGTAGGTTCAGTTGCCTGGTAAGGGCTGTATCCTCACATCGCAGAAGGCAGGGCGAGCTGAGTAAGGCCTCTTTTATAAGGGCCTAATTTCATTCATGAGGGTGGAGCCCTCGCAGACTAACTAGCTCTTAAAGGCCTCACTTAATACTATTACATTAGCAGCACCTGAACTCTGGAGAGGACAGACTGAAACCACAGCAATATCTAACCTATATGTGTTTTAATTGGGCTCAAAGAACAAATTAATGCTGGGCACAGTGGCTCACACCTGCAGTCCCAGCACTTTGGGAGGCTGAGGCAGGCGAATTGCTTGAGCCCAGGAGTTTGAGACCAGCCTGGCCAACACAGTGAAACCCCATCTCTACTAAAAATACAAAAATTAGCCAGGTGTTATGCATGCCTGTAATCCTAGCTACCTGGGAAGCTGAGGCACGAGAACTGCTTGAACCGGGGAGGCAGAGGTTGCAGTGAGCTGAGATCTCACTACTGCACTCCAGCCTGGGCAACAAAGCAAGGCTCTGTCTCAAAAAAACAAAAACAAAAACAAATAAACCAAAAAAAAAAGTAAGGCACAAATCCTTCCTTAAGAATACAGGTTGAGTATCCCTTAGCTGAAACCAGGAGTGTTTCAAATTTGAATTTATTTCTTTGGATTTTAAAATATTTATATAATTACCAGTTGAGCCTCTCAAATATGAATATCCAAAATCCAAATTGCTCTGATGAGCGTTTCCTTTGAGTATCTTATTGAGTTCAAAAAGTTTCAGATTTTGGAACATTTACTTTTCTGATTTTGGAGGCTAAACCAGTATATATTTGTATAGGTTTGGTTACAAGGAATGAACACAGAGGCAGGAAAGGCAGCAAAGGAGAGAATTACAGAGACAGAGAAAGGGAAACATTCAATGGTGAGAAGAAACATATGAAAGGAAAATTAATAAACCTCATTTAGTTTAACACAATTATTTCTTTTCTTAGGTTTTAAAAATGATGGTACATTACAGAGAGCCACACATTCTTTGATACTCTTCCCATTGAGAAGTGAAGGTTAATTCCTCTACCTTGAACCTGGGATGGTCTTAGTAACTTGCCTGACCAATAGGATGTTGCAGAAATAACATTTTGGGACTTCTAAGAATATGATATAAACATCCTTGGAGTTTCTGTCCTAGACTTTTAGATTACTCACCCTGGGAAAGCTGGCTGCTACATAAGAAATCTTGCTACAGTGAGACCACTATACAGTTCTGAAGCCCTCCATAACTACAGAGACAGGCCATATGTAAAACAAGGGAGAGTTGTCCAGGCAACCCCAGCTTTTCAGCTATCCAAGCTCAGGCCCAAGACATGAATGAACATGAGCAAAGAAGTTATGTTAGGAGACATATCAGCCCCAGAAGACATAACATGGAGAAGATCTAAGGAATTCAAAAGACAGCCAGAACTAAGTTGAAAAATATGGCCCCAGTCACCAATTCCAGGCATCTCTAGCCATTCAAGTCACCTAAGCTGAGACTCCAGGTACTGCAAAGCAAAAATGCGCTGTCTCCCATTATATTCTGCTTGAATTCCTGAGGCACAAATCATAAGCATAATAGAATGATATTGTTTGATATCTCTAAGTTTTAGGAAGGTTTGTTAGCAAGCAATAGATAACCAAAATAGACCCCCATTTGTAAATCAGGTGGGTGCACTTCAGGTAGATTTATGGCTAAGCTATTTAGCTGTCCTTTTTTCCCATTAAGTTCACACTCCAAAGTCAATTACTTACCAAAATTAAGCTACAGTCAGTAAAGCTTGCTACTTGACTGACTAAAGAATAAGTACCAAAGCAATATTAAAAGGTCTAACATTAATTTTTCAAAACATCAAATCCTTTTGACAAATTCTTACCAAAGCAAATTCGTGAGATATCCTTCCATCTGGAGGCAGTTTTGCACCAAATCCTAGAGCTGGAAACATTTTATCACTGTCATAATCTTGAACAATTTCTCCCACTGCTTTTAGTGCCATACCATAGGCATTCAGTTGGTAAGGATTCATGTAGTGGAGGGAAGTGGGCTGAGCAGGGTTGCCTGATGACAGAACACATATTTCAAACATAAGCAATTAGGGTAAATAAATTTAACAAAATTTTTCTTGGTGTCTATTTCAGAATGAAATATTCAAAATTATGTTTTTCTGCCTATATACAGTGTGTCAAATCATTTCTTTTTGGATGGATATTAACACAGAAATATTTGTTATATTATATTAGACATATAGAAAGTTCTAAGATATGCCAAAGCATACGCAGAAGTTTTCAGAAATGATTCTTATTTTCAATGCCACAGGGTATTTTTGAGTTTTTGTTCTGGAAGTATAAAAGTACTTTTGTTAATCTTATTTTATTGTAATCTTTATTTTTAAACAAAATCATGTGCCTTTAGCTTGAATCCTTATGCCTATGGCAAGATGACCCAATAGATTTAATGGACTTCAATAATTATGAAGGCTTCCTATAAATAACTGAATATTTGAGAAGTATCCCAATTTAGCACTTAAAAAAGGGAAGTATAGTGATTTTCAAGTGCAGGCTGATTAAATATCTAGATCTAAAAAATTCTTCACAACTTTCGAATGAGACATTAAGCTAGGAGCCAGAGGCCAGAGTCAAGTCTTGCCATTTGTATGGCAGCCTCTGTAAAATAAATCCTACCACTGTGTTTACCCGGAGGACAAAATGAGATTACACGTTTAAAAGTGATTAAAAATAATAAAGCACCATAAAATTGTAAGCTGAACTGCTGCAGTTATTATAGTCTGGGTCATCCACAAGGTTCTGAATTTCAAAATGCTTATACTGTGTAGGATGTTGCACTTGAATAGTGATGAAATTGAGAGAAAGTGTAATGTATTAATATGTGCTACCACTCAAACACATTGAAATTCACAACAAGTTGCCCTAATTACCAGCATAAAGGCAGCCTGAAAGTCCATTTGGTTCCTTAAATAAAAATGGAAAGTTAAATGAGACTTGTAGCAGCATATGAACCTCAATTTTACGTTAAAGCATTGTCTGAAGAAGAAAAGCCTCAGGACATAGTTTTTCTGATAAGGAACAAAAGTAACAAAAAGCACTTGAGATCCAGAGAGAAACAAAATAAAGATCTCCCCTTGGGTTATTTGACAGGTAATTATACACATAATATTTTTGTCCTAAAAACAATTAATTGAACTTTTTTTTATTTTATATTTCCAAGAGTTACCAGCGTTCAAGGGCTGGCTCCACATAACAAAATCACTAAAAAAGTATCTTCTTATCAAAATGGCCTAATGTTCCCCTCAACTTGACTAAACTTGTAGAAAGTTCCTTCCTGACTATAAGACCCTGACCGCTCTTTTCTTACAGCTCTCACTTTAGAAAACTTGCAATTGTAAATTCTTCCTCTGCACCTTTGAGATGTAAATCTTCTACAACCAAGGAGTATCTTTCTCAAGGACATGGAAGGCATCCCTTTGAAATATAAACATCAAGAAAAACAGCAGCCCTATCTTCCAGTCTCCGTGAGAAGATAGAAGCCTAACTTCAATAAGAACCAATTAGCAAACAGAGATGGCCTAAGCACACAAACCAACTTCCGGGCTAATGTCCTCTAGGACTTTTCCAGTAGCTCACCTCAGCAAGCACAAACACTCCAACCTTTTGTTTTGGAGTAGTTGAGTTCAATTTTTGTCCTCTGTTGTAACAGTCTTGACCCCTTTGCAATGGTCTTAAATAAAGCCTTTCTTGCCTTTTTAATGTGTCCAGTGTGATTTTTCTTTGACACTTGCTTCTAAAGTAGGGACTTTGCCACTTGATCCAAAGCCCAGTGGAATCAGAGATTTAAAAATACCATTACTAGACTAAATGGTTATTTAACACAACTCTCATGCCTGAAATCCTAGCACTCTGGGAGGCTGAGGCAGGTGGACAGCTTGAGCCCAGGAGTTTGCAACCAGCCTGGCCAACATGGTGAAACCCTGCCTCTACAAAAAATACAAAAATCAGCTGGGTGTGGTGGCATGTGCCTGTAGTCTCAGCTGCTCAGGAAGCTGAGATGTGGGAGATCACTTGAGTCCGGGAGGTCAAGGGTGCAGTGAGCCCCTGATAGTGTCACTGTACTCCAGCCTGAGCAACAGAGCAAGACCCTGTCTCAAAAACAAACACAAACAAACAAACAAACGAATACTTCCCCCAACTCTCAAACTCACAAATATAGAAGAGTTTTAATCCAATGGTGACAATATGGCAAATACTTTTACTTCACTATGAAAACTGTAAATAAAAAAATATAATTAGTACCCCAGAACATTTAAACATTTTAACCTAACATGCATAGCTGGGCCCTTTGTACCCATACAAAGATGTTACCTATCTCTTTCCAGCATCTTCCTCTACACCAGTCTCTTCACATTACTGCTAATGATACTTTCCCTCCCACCTCTACCTCTCAAGTTGCCACCCTGTCCTGAAATTCACCTTCTCCTCCTCCAACTTATGTCTCACACATACTAGACAACCCTTTTTGTTTATTCCAGCCCTTATTGTCTTTTCTCTTATACTGTTATGGATCTTGTGTTCTATACTAAAAAAAAAAAAAAAATGGCAATTTAAAGTATTGAGTCAACTCCTTGAGTCTGGGACAGTGTTTGTATTTCCTCTGTATCTGCAAAGATGCTTTTAAACAATGAATTTGTAGTAGGTTAATAACATTGGGGCCCAACTAATAGCCATAATAATTATAACACGGAACTTAACATGTATTGACAATTTTATATCATAGCTCACTTAACCCTTTCAACAAACTGACAATATGTATACTTTTGTTATACCCAATATTATCAAAATTATATCTGATTTTGCTTTAGAGATGTACTATACCTTTGTAAGAAACTCACAGTTCAATAGAATATTTTTAAGAGTTTATTGAGACATAATGGCATAAGTTACGTATTAACCATTTAAAATATATAATTCAGCTGGGCATGGTGGCTCATGCCTGTAATCCCAGCACTTTGGGAGGCCAAGGTGGGTGGATCGCTTTGAGCTCAGGAATTCGAGACCAGCCTAGGCAACATGGCAAAATCTCGTCTTTACAAAAAACACACAAATTAGCCAGGAGTTGGTGGCATGTGCCTGTAGTCCCAGCTACTTGGGAGGCTGAGGCTGGAGAATCACTTGAGCCCTGGAAGTGGAGGTTGCAGTGAGCTGAGATTGCACCCCTGTACTCCAGCCTGGGCGACAGAGTGAGATCCCCCATCTCAAAAAACAAAACAAAATAAAACAAAGAACAATTCAATGATTGTTACTATATTCATAGTTATGTGCAATCATCACTATAGTTAATTTCAGAACATTTTTATCACTTCAAAAAGAAACCGTACCCATTAGTTACCACCCTAGCCCTAAATAATCACTAATCGTCTTTTTGTCTCCATTGATTTGTCTCTTCTTGACAGTTCATAAAAACAGAATCACATAACATGTGATCTTTTGTAACTAGCTGCTTTCACTTAGCTTATAGATCTCAACAACCATCTATCTTATAGCCTGCATGTATTAGTGCTTTATTTTTGTTTATTGCAGAATAGTATTCCATTGTATGGATTTTATCATTTATCACTTGTTAGACATTTGGGTTGCTTCCACATTTGGGATATTATGCTGTTATATATATTCACGTATAAGTTTTTTTGCTGACATATGTTTTTAAGTCTCTTGAGTATATATCTAGGAATGAAATTGCTAGGTCATATGGTAACTCTATATTTAACAATGTGAGGAACTTAGCAAAGTGTTTTTCTAAAGTGGCTGTACAATTTTACATTCCCACTGATATAGTTTGGATGTTTGTCCCCTCCAAA
Organism: Homo sapiens; assembly: GCF_000001405.40. Classification (NCBI taxonomy): domain Eukaryota; kingdom Metazoa; phylum Chordata; class Mammalia; order Primates; family Hominidae; genus Homo; species Homo sapiens. The sequence continues at coordinate 38,697,650 of NC_000012.12, forward strand.
TCTCAATGTTGGTGATGGGGACTGGTGGGAGGTGTTTAGGTCATGGGGTAGGATCCCCCATGAATGGCTTGGTACCATCTTCCTAGTAATGAGGGAAGTTCTCACTCTGTTAGTTCACGTGAGAGGTGGTTGCTAAAAGGAGCATGGTACCTCCTCCTCTCTCTCTCTCTCTTGCTCCCAACATGTAATATGCTGACTGCCCCTTTGCATTCCATCATGATTGAAAGCTTCCTGGGCCTCACCAGAAGCCAAGCAAATGCTGGTGCCATGCTTATACAGCCTGCAGAACTGTGAGCTAAATAAACCTACTTTCTTTATAAATTACCCAGTCTCAGGTATTCCTTTACAGCAATGCAAATGAAACAACACAATCACCAACAATGTTATGAGGATTCTGATTTCTTCATATCGTCACCAGCACTTGTTATTTGACTGTTTTCTTACAGTCACCCTAGTGGGTATGAAATGATATCTCATTATAGTTTCGATTTGGATTTCCTGATGCCTAAGTTGGCCAAGAATCATTTCATGTGTTTATAGGCCACTTGTATATCCTTCTTTGGAGAAATATCTATTTAGATCCTTTGCCCACTTTTAACATTGGATTATTTGTCTTTTTATTGAATTGTAAGTTATTTATATATTCTAGGTTCAAGTCCCTCATGAGAGGTATGATTTGCGAACATTTTTTCCATTTTGGGGGATGTCTTTTCATTTTCTTGATAGTGCCCTTCAAAGCATAAAAAGTTTTGATTTTGAAGTTCATTTTACCTATTTTGTTGTTGTTGTTGCTCATGAGTTTGGTATCTTATTTAAGAATCAACTGCCAAATCCAAGGTCATGAAGATGCATCCCTATGTTTTCTTCTGAGAATTATATAGCATTAGCTTTTACATTTAAGTATTTGATCCATTTTGAGTTAATTTTCGTATGCGAGGGAAGAGTCCAACTTCCTGCTTTTGCATGTGGCTATCCAGTTGTCCCAGCACCATTTGCTAAGACCAGTCTTCCCCCGTTGCATTGTTTTGGTATTCTTCTTGAAATCAGTTGACCTTAGACATCAGGGTTTACTTTTGCAAACTTGTATCCATTTCATTGATCTGAATAATCATCTTTATGCCAGAAGACACTGTCTTAATTACTGTTGCTTTGTAGTAAGTTTTAAAAGTGAGAAATGTTGACTCTTCCTACTTCAATGTTCTTTTTCAAGTTTGTTTTAGCTCTTCTGGATCCTTTGCAATTTCATATTAATTTCCGTATGAATTTCCTCCAAAAAGTCCTTTCAGACTTTGATAAGGATTGCTTTAAATAAATTTCATATTAATTTCCATATGAATTTCTTCCAAAACATCCTTTCAGATTTTGATAAAGATTGCTTTAAATCTGTAGATCACTCTGGGGAATAGTGCCACCTTAACAATGTGGAGTTTTCTAATCCAAAAGCATGGCTGGTTTCTCTCTTTATTTTCATTTTTAATTTATTTCAACAATGTTTTCTTCAAAAAATAATTTGCACTTATCTTGTTTCAGAGTTGTTGGACTATAAGTTTTGCACTTCTTTTCTCTTGTTTTCCATTCTTTTAACCATATTTGTTTATTTTATGAACAGGTATTCACAATCTCACAATCAGTATACTATAAAAAGATTTCCATAAAGAAGTTGCTCTCTAATGTTCTTAGTTCACCTAATTCACTGGTGCTAGTCACCTTTTGTTAGTTCATTGTGTATACTTCTAATATTTATGCATTTATATTGTTATGTGCCCCGATCCTTATGTCAAGGACAGCACACTGATAACTGATAACTCTGTTCTCTACTTTGCTATTTTCATTTAACAATATATCTTAGAAGTCTTTCCATATTAGTAGAAAGAATGGTCCACTTTCCTTTCTTCTCTCTTTTTCCCCTACCCTTCCTTCCTTCTTTCCTTCCTTCCTTCCTTTCCCTCATTCTTACCTTTTGGTGGCTGCATAGTGTTTCATTCTGTGGCCGAACCACGGTCTATTTCACCAGTACCCAGCTAATATACTCTACGAAGCTTTCTAAACTTTTTTTTTTTACAAATTACTATGAACTATAGCATTTTCTGCGAGTGCAGGTAAATCTGTATTATATATATTTCCAGAAGAAGAATTGCTAGTTAAATTTATTCGTAAGTATAATATTCCTTTTGATACTACGATAAAGGAAATTGTTTTCTGAATTTCATTTTCTAATTGTTTCTTGGAAGTGCATTAAAAGAACTGAGTTTTATATATTGATCTTCTATCCTGCAAACTTGCTGAACTTATTTATTGGTTATAGTAGATTTTCAGTGGATTCTTTAGGATATCCTATATACAAGATCATGCCATCTGCAATAAGGATACTTTTATTTCTCTCCTTCTTATCCAGATATTTTGTATTTAGTTTTCTTGCCTAATGGTCTTGGCTACAACCTCCAGTATAATGTTCAATAGAAGAGGTGGGAGCATACATTTTTGTCTTGTTTTTCATCTCAAGACAAAAATGTTAAGCTTTTCACCACTAAGTATCATGTTATTTGTGGACTTTACATAGATTCCCTCATCAGATTAGGAAGTCCCCTTCTTTTTTTTTTTTTTTTTGAGATGGAGTCTTGCTCTGTCACCCAAGCTGGAGTGCAACGGCATGATCTCGGCTCACTGCAACATCCGCCTCCCAGGTTCAAGCGATTCTCCTGTCTCAGCCTCCCTAGTAGCTGGGATTACAGGCGTGTGACAACACGCCTGGCTAATTTTTTGTATTTTAGTAGAGACGGGGTTTCACCATGTTGCCCAGGCTGGTCTCAAGCAATCCATCCGCCTCGGCCTCCCAAACTGCTAGGAATACAGGCGTGAGCCACTGAGCCTGGCCAGGAAGTCCCCTTCTATTTCTAGTTTGTGGAGTGTTTTCAACATGAAAGTGCACCGGACTTTGTAAAATGCTTTTCCTGCATCAGTTGAGATGATCATGTGGTTTCTGTGTTTTCTTCTATCGACAGGGTGTTGATAATGGTTTGGCTGTGTCCCCACCCAAATTTCATCTTGAATTGTAGCTCCCATAATTCCCATGTGCCATGGGAGAGGCCAGGTGGGAGGTAATTGAATCATGGAGGTGGGTCTTTCCCATACTGTTCTCATAATAGTGAATAAGTCTCATAAGATCTGATGGTCTTATAAAGGGGAGTTCCCTTGCAAATGCTCTCTTGCCTGCCACCATGTAAGACATAACTTTGCTCCTCATTCTCCTTCTGTCATGATTGTGAGGCCTCCCTAGCCATGTAGAACTGTGAGTGAATTAAACCTGTTTCCTTTATAAATTACCCAGTCTTGGGTATGTCTTTATTAGCAGCATGAGAGAAGACTAATACAGGTAGGTTATGTTATTTGATTTTTTAGTATTAAAAATCCTCTCATTGCAAGGACAAATCTTACTTTGTTTGGGTGTGTAATTCTCTTGGTATCAAGATAATATTAACCTCACAAAATGAGCTGGGAAGTAACCTTCTTTCACATTTCAGAAGAGTTTGTGGAGAATTGGTATTAATTCCTCTTCAGATAGTTGTTAGAATTTACCAGTGAAGCTATCTGGCCCTGGGTTCAGATTAACTTTGTGGGTAGTCTTTTAAAAACTACTAATTTAGTCATTTTACTTGTTATAGGTCTACTCTGATTATCTGTTTCTTCTCAAGTCAATGTTTCTTCTCAAATCAAAAATGTTTGTCTTTTTATTTAATAATTTCTTGCTTATCTTAGTTGTTGTGCTAGTATTCATCAGTGAACACAATCTAGTATTTTAAAGCAGTTGGATTTTAGGTATTATTTCTTTTTGTTTGTTTGTTTGTTTTATTTTGTTTTGTTTTTGAGATGGAGTCTCACTGTCACCCAGTTTGGAGTACAGTGGCACAATCTTGGCTCACTGTAACCTCTACCTCTTGGGTTCAAGTGATTCTCCTGCCTCAGCCTCCTGAGTAGCTGGGACTGCAGGTGTGTGCCACCACGTTTGGCTAATTTTTGCATTTTTAGTAGAGATGGGGTTTCACCATGTTGGCCACGCTGGTCTCAAACTACTGACCTCAGGTGATCTGCCCGCCTCAGCCTCCCAAAGTGCTGGTATTACAGGCATGAGCCACCATGCCTGGCCTTAGGTATTATTTCTATGTTCTATATTATGCTGAATAAAACACGAGTAAAAATAATTAATTGGAAGCCATAATGTTGCAGAAAGAACGTGACATGCAGTGAAAGCTGAATTAGAGTCTGGTCTTATCTGTAGTTCTAACTCTAGAACTAACAAGTCAAGTGTGTTTATTAGTAAAAATATTTCCTGGATCTGAATGTCCTCGCTTGTATAAGAAGAAGGTTCAATTAAGTGACCTCTAAGGTACTTTCTTCCCTAAAATTTCTATTGTTTTGTAAAACGTGAATGATTGTGAAATAAAAATGAAATAAAAAGAATATAAAGTGGGATCCATAGACAATAAGCCATTTGAAAGAAAAAAAAGACAAATATAAACTAGTGGCAACTTCTGGTAAAAGTTACATAATGAAGTTAACATTCTGATGATACATAATAACTAATTTCAAATGATTGTTCTGTTTGAAATAAAGTTGCTTCAAAATAAAAGCCCACTATCTTTTTTTCTTAAAAGGTTTAATACATAAATTATGAATATCCATACATGGGCTGTTATATATCCGTCCCTCTGAGTGAATTAGATATTAATGTGTTAACATAAGTAATTATTAAAAATTAATAATTGAGTAAAAGTGAACCAACTTTATAAAGGACAGATACTGTTGAATTACATTTATATAAATTCATACATACAAAAGTACTATAAAAATGAGGATTATAACTTAATACACTTCAGAATTATAGTTATAGATGGAAAAGAACAGAGGGTAGGAGAATGGGTCAGAGATACAATAGGCTTCAGTACATCTAAAATTTGTATTATTTTAAACACATGTAAAACAATGACAATATTTCAATATATAATAAATCTGAATGAGACTATTAGCATTTTTGTTATATTATTTCTAGTCTTTTGTATATTTGAACTATTTCACAACATTAAAAAGAAAGAAAAAATTATGTAAATTTTATATGGAAAACTTCAGAAGTATGTAAATATAGAAATAAATTAACACTTATGAAAATATAAATTTATTTTTCATGTAATTGCTGATGATTTTTATCAGGGGATAATCAAAACACTCACCGTTTGATGCTGTAAAATCAATAGCCACTGTGAAATTGATTTGCGTCCTGGAATAGAAGTAAACAAGACTCATTAATAATGAAATAACCTGATAAAAGGAGTTTCTTTTCCATTTCGGTTATATTTTTTAATGTCACTGATTTTCTCAAACGTTAATTAAGAGCAATATATTACAGTACATATTGGATAGCATCAGATAGGCAGTTTTACATGGTAAGAACTTGGCAAAAATATATTTATAGTTACATATATTTATAGTCACATACAATGAAAACTAAAGTCTCGGGAATAAAAGTAGTTCCTATTTTGGAGTAATTAAGTGACTCATAACAAAGTAGTCAAACTGCAAATAATTATTTTCCAGCCTCAATGCCATCATGTATTATTAATTTATGTTTCCAAAATTGTTCTGTAGTAATCGTGAAATTAGCATGTCCTTTAAAGTGTTGCATTGCTAAAATCATCTCTAATAATGTCATTCCTTAAACTAATTCTTTTTGACAATCCCCCAAACACACGATTTTCTCCAGCATCCCTTCCTGATAAAACCCTCAAGAAGCTAGGCATTGAAGGAACACTCCACGAAATAATAAGGGCCGTCTATGACAAATTCACAGCCAACATCATACTGAATGGGCAAAAACTGGAAACAATCCTCTTGAGAACTGGAACAAGTCAAGGATGCCCACTCTCACCACTCCTATTCCACATAGTATTGGAAGAGCTGGCCAATCAGGCAAGAGAAAGAAATAAAAGGCATCCAAATGGGAAAATAAGTCAAACTATCTCTCTTCACACACCACTCGATTCTATACCTAGAAAATCCTAAATACTACACTAAAAGGCTCCTGGAACTGATAAATTCTGCAAAGTTTCAGGATACAAAATCATGTACAAAAATCAGTAGCTTGTTTATATACCAATAATGTTCAAGCTGAGGGCCAAATGAAGAATGCAATCCCATTCACAAGAGTGACACACACACACACAAATATCTAGAATAAATCTAACCGAGGGAGTGAAAATCTAACCATAGAAAAAGCCACAAAAAAGAATAAAGTCATGCCCTTTGCAGCCAACTTGGATATAGCTGGAGGCCGATACCCTAGGCAAATTAATGCAGGGACAGAAAGCAAACACCACGTATTCTTCCTTATAAGTGCGAGCTAAACATTGGGTACTCATGGACATAAAGATGGCAACAACAGACACTGGAGACTACTAGAGGAGAGATGGAAGAAGGGTGGCTTGAGGGCTGAAAAATGAACTGTTGGGTACTATGCTCAGTACCTGGGTGACAGGATCATTTGTAACCTTAACCTCAGCATCACACAATATATCCAGGTAACAAACACGCACATGTAATTCTTGAATCTAAAATAAAAGTTGGAAAAAGAAACACACAAGATTTTCTTTTGCTTTCTTCAGAAATGAAGTATTTCAGACACTAGTCTCCCATTGCTTACAGCATTTCTCTTTGTGTGTTTGTGTGTATATGTATGTGTGCGTGTGTGTGTGTGTGTATTTACAGATATAGATAAATACAGATATATACTGATTGATAAAATATGTTACAAAATGCTCCTCAACTTGCAGTGGGGTTACATCCTGATAAATCAACTGTAAGTTGAAAATATTTTAAGTCAAAAATGCATTTAAATACCTAACCTAAGGAAAGTCAGAGCTTACTCTAGCCTATTTTACTGTGTTCTGAACACTTCCATTAGCCTATAGTTGGGCAAAATAATCTGGCAACACAGTACACTGTGGAGCATCAGTTGTTTACCCAGTGATCCTGTGGCTGATTGGGAGCTGTGGCCACCGTCCAGCATCAGAAGAGAGTATCATGCTGCTTTTCTTTCTACTAAATGTGTATTGATTTTGCACTATGGTAAAGAAAAATCTTGCTGAATTATTGTAAGCTGAGGACCATCTGTGTGTGTATGTATGTGTATATATATATATATATATATATATATATATATATATTTAAATTTCGGCACATGGTTGTTACCCAAACTTATTTTAGTGAATTAGTTTAGTTTTTTTTTTTTTTTTTGCTGATGGAAACTAATGAGGTAGTGGTAGTCACATAAGAAATTCACTTTTTTGAGTATACCTATGACTCTATATGTAATTCCATCTCTTCCTTACCAGGGAAAATATAAAAACACAAATACATGACAATGCTATAAATACTGTAATAACCTGGAATCACATCTAATCTACAAAATAATTTTTAATTAAAAAGTAAATCATCTGAAAACATGAGTACTTTGACTATTTTTTAGCAACAAATTACTTTTGACACACAGCACAATTGATTTAACACTTCCAATTTTGGAACTATTGGATAAATAATGATGGGATTTAAATAAAGCAATCCGATTCTGCTATTACAGCATAGGGTCTCTTGTAGTCCTCTTAGTAAAAACTATTGTGACATTTCCTTCTTTCTCCAAATATTCGGCCTGGAAAGACCTAAATACAATGCAGGGATTGAATCAAATTCACACATTTTTTTTCCTACGGAAACAACAACCTTTCTTGCTTATATTTAACAAAAACTAGTATAGATTCCCTTTATATTAATAGTTATATGGTATTTTTTTCTCAGAGTAGAAATCAGGTTTATAGGCTAAGAATATAGGCTAATTTGGAGCATAACACTAACCAGCATGAACCTAAGTGAGTACAAACTTTTAGAAAAAGAATATAGTAAGACTTCTGGGAGAACATTTTCAGATAAAAGCCCCTTTGAGGGATTGAAAAGAACAATCACCATCAGCACATTGCTTCGTCATGCTGTGGTAGGGAGAGAAATGACTGTGATACATGGCAGTAAGGTAGATTAGAAAGGGTGTGGATTTTGAATCTGAATGAACTGGGTTTGAGTCCCAGCAACCCAGTTGGTGACCTTAGCCAAATTTCAAAACTCTTGGAGGGCAGGTACCTGGCAGATAGAAAAAAAATGAGAACTGAAAGGAAACAACATGAGATATTACATATACATTTTATTTTACACACATAATATATATATACATATATCATAAGATATTCACATTATACATATCACACATTATATATAATGTGATGTTACATGGCTTGTACCAGTTAACCACAAAATAATTTTAAAGAGAAGATACTATCATCCTCTTTTTACAGAGAAGGAAATCTATGCTCACAAAACTTAATAATTTCTATGCCAGTAATAAACAACAGCATTGGAATTTGAATTCACATTCAACTAATCTGTTTCTCCAGTTAAATATTTGCAAACTTTCTGGCTATAATAGGCACACAATAAAGGATATGGATTATATTATTAATATTATGCCATAATCCTAGAAAAAAACTAAACAGATGTTCTTTTTTGTGTGTGACCAAATGAGCTTTTAATATAAAGAGATTAATCCTCCTGAAAATCAATAACAAACCCAAATTTGATCTGAATATTTTACGAAGTTTGCTGAAACCTGTGTTCTACAGGTTTTGATAAAGGAAGTTTTGGTTTTGAAGAAACACTGAATTTTATCCATTGATTTTCTCATGAGAAATGGGATTCTTCTATCAGATATAGACAGTAAATATTCTTAATGATAAAAAAATCTGGATATAATCTCATGCTTGGGCAAATTTTTCCTTCTATCAAATATGTTATCAAGTATATAAATAACAAAATAATATGTATATATTCTTTTTATGTTATTTTATTCAAATAACACCTCATTAGGAATAAAAAATAACTTTGAGCTTTAAGAATATATGTTTTAGCAGATTATAAAGATCAATTTAGAAGTCCAGTCTTTGGTTCAATCTCTGTACACTGTAGGAGAAGACACATTACTATCTTGATTCAACTCTCTCTTGCAACAGTGTCTGCACAATGCTTTCCACATATTGAAACCTCACTGTGTTCACTGGGCAAATGGATACGTTTGTTTATGACTGTTTCTAACTTGTTCTCCAGGGTAGCCCAGAATGCTACAGCATAACCGTCAGCTTCCTAGAAGCACTGGTTGCAGATACAAGACTTCAGTAGTCATAGATGCAAACGTCCTCTCAAAGACAAAGTTGTCCCTACCAAAGCTACAAAGAAAAGTTATGGCTATTTGCTAAAGAACCATACATAAGAGTTAAAAAGAAGAAGAGAGCAGAGGACAGGTGCAGTGGATCCCACCTGTAATCCCAGCATTTGAGAGGCTGAGGTGGGAGGATCACTTGAAGCCAGGAGTTCCAGACCAGCCTGGGCAACATACTGAGACCCAGTCTGTATAGAAATTTTAAAAAATAACCAGGTTGGGTGGTGTACACTTGGAGTCCAAGCTACTTAGGAGGCTGAGGTGTGATGATCTCTTCAGCCTACGAATTTGAGGCTGCGGTGAGCTATACTTGCACTGCTGCACTCCAGCTTGTGCGACAGAGTGAGACTCTGTCTGTTAAAAAATGAAAATAAAAAGGAGCAGATATTTAGAATTAAACTTACTAAAACTATCAATAGCTAAACTAAATTATGAAACCATGTAGACTATGTACAATAAAACAATGAACTGTAGAAAAGAAGACAAGATAAGAGAAAGAGAGAGGAGGGAAGGAAGGTAAGAAGGAAGGAAGGAAGAAGAATGAAAGGCAGGACCAATGAGCACTGTTGAAACCCAGGACACTCTAAGCCTAAGTATAAAAGGTGGATGCATTCATTTAGCACTAAATGATAAATAAGACCATTTGGTAATTATGGTGCAACAGAGACACTCAATGAGTAAAGCAGAATCCTGAAGCATATTTGATGACTGATTGATGACAAGATTTGATTAATTCTTTGTCTCATTCTGCATGTCAGGAAGAATCTCTTGCCTTTATTACTTTGAATCAGCAGCAGCATTCAGCTCAGAAGGAAAATATTATGGCTTACTAAATAAAGCAGCTCATGCTAGCGATGGTCACTTAGCCTGCTATCACACCATTGAGATTTTTCTACTTAGAAAACCACAGTTCAACAATGATTTATGGAGCACCTTTCAATTGCCAAGCACTGTGCTATAGGATGAAGAGAAACAGGAGCAAATAAAACACCATTCTTGAACTCACAGAGCAAAACTCCAGCTTTATATTGTTCAATGACAAAGATAGCACAGCATTTTATCATTGAATTCAAAATCAATAGCATAACCTAAAATTCACCTGCACATTTACTGTGAATATCAGTTTGTTCAATGCCATGATTCCTAAGAGTTTCCATTCATATTATAATACATACTTACTAAATCAAGTGTCATATTCTATGTATTTAGAAAATATTAACTGATAAAAAATTTAAAGAAAGTTCCTAGCAATACTATAACCTCAAGCTATAAAACAGGTTTCTTGAAGACTTTAATACATAATTTGTTATAAAAGTAAACCAAACAACATTTCAATCAGTAACGTCATTACCCTTTTTCATTCTCTAATATTGCTTGAAGCCTAATGTTAGAGGAAAAAAAAAATCAATCGTGTCAAAGTAAAAAAAAAATCCAAATTTATATAAGATTACTCCTGACAGAATATTCATAAAACAATCACATTTAAATCCTCGAAACATTTTGTTTAGGAAGTGTTACTTTAGCTGTCATTTTATGTTTTAGAAGCAGAAAAGACAGAAGGATTTCATAAAATCCAGTTAGCAGCATTATATTTTAGAATATAAAAAGTTATGCCTGCCAAATTGCATGAGTTAGTACTAACATCTTAGGAGATCTCCCAATACATATGTCCTAGTACTACTAAAATATGAACTTGGAAAATGCCCCTATTTTACCATCTTTCCAAAAGCTGTGAATGACAGAGAAATCAGATGTCAAGATGAGAATAATTTACTAGCACAGCAAAGATCCACAGGAAGCAAGTATATATGTGAGTATCAAAGAAAACTAGACACACATATACACATACAGAGAGTAATACCATCTTACATGTGTTTTCTACAGCTGTTATTTTGAATTAATTACAGAGAACTAACAAAACTGTGATAGGGATGTGCAGAAGGCTTGTTTTCCTTTCTTCCCAATTTCAAATCTAGTTCAGTTGCACAAACTGAACTTTGTAAATTATACAGTGGATTTCTCCCACTCCTCTTTAAATTAATCTTGACAAACAGATTCACATCCACTAGCTGTTGGTATCTAGAACCCAAAAATGTAGTTGGGATGCCCACCTAACAATAATATTCCTCACATTCTTTCTATATTGGTACCAGGACTATGCTTCTGCCTTGATTTACCAATATGTATTCTAGTTCACACTTTGGTTCTGGAACATGCCCTGAAGCCCTGGTGCACTTGCCTCAAACATTGTCATCCAACCTAACCCTTCTTGACCTTCTCTCACCATGGGCTAAACCCTGAGCCCTTTTCTGTCTTATCCTTTTGCTTTTCTTAAAATTGGTTCAACTACCTGAATGACAATGCAGACAGATGCCTCATTCCAAACTTTATTGCATCTTCAAAATTCTGGCATCCCATGCCCATGAACTACTCAGTGAATTAACCTTGCCAAGTAAGATCTGCTAGAATGAGGGCAGGTTGTGAGATGCACAAATGCAAATTCAGATATAAATACTTTCACTCATGATTCACGTGATCTTGAAAAAACTATTCAATCTTCTGCAGCTCACTTGTAAATAATTATAAAACCTTCCCTGATTGTTGCTGTGAGGACCATAAAAGAACCTGTCCTTTAGAAGGCCCATTAAGTAGATGACTCATTATTATCATGATTATTGATACTAGTTTTTCAGAACGTGAGCATACTTCTTTGAATACTGGATTGTATAATGCTTATCAAATTTCTGGGTCTACCAGAGGTTCAGGTTATTGCAAAGAATCTGATGCTCCCATGTCAGATTTCCTTTCCTTCACACCCACTAATAAGGTACCAATCTGTTCAACCCAAAACTGAGCCATGAATTTATAATCTAACCTTGTTAGGTGTTATCTAGGTACTTCCTCAAACAAAATTCTACTGCATGAAGTAATTGTAAACTTTGACTTTTGCCTTATTTTCTATCCTTTCTTTCCTTCATGCACTCTGGATTCCTGGGGATCAGTGAAATGTCAAAAGTAACAATAAAAAAAATAACTGGAGACAAGAGATATGATCCCTCAACTCTTTATTCTTCAACCTTACTGAATTCAGTTTTTACAAATCAATAAAACTTTCTAATTTCTCTAGACTTTGAAGATTGATTTCTATATTTTTTTCACACAATACTACTACTCCAAAATACAACTTCATAAGGAGGCTAGCTTATCTTCATGCAATTCAAGAACACCTTATCAAAAAGGTATGCAAAATTGCCAACCTCTTTTCTAACCAATAGTTAGAAAATATATGTGACATAATCAAAATAAGCTAACAAAAAAAAAAAAAAAAAAAACCAACCCCAAACCGAAACTGTAAGCACTATCCATCAAAATCCCATTTAAAATGAGGTAGGTGCCAGAGAGGTAATGCCTGCCTAGTAGGAAGACAGTGAACTCTTGAGTCATATAGACTGGAGTTTGAAGCCCAGAATCACCACTAGCTAGCTAGTTGTGACTCCTTGCAAAACTATCAAATCTCTGGGTCCTAGTTTTCTCATATGACAGACAGGTAACAACCACATTGAAGGAGACTTCTAAATGTTAGAAATAAAACTCTCAAGTACTTGCACATAGCAAATACTCTACATGCTGTAGGACAAATTTCGTGAGCAACCCATGCCATTTTCTACTGGTTCATGCTAACACTCTCCTCTGTGGGGTCAGAAGAGAGTTCTTTCTTTATATTAACATAAATTTATTTTCCACTAGTCCTTCCCATAATGTGGGTTAGTGATGTATCAAGGGTGGGGCAATGAAGCTGTAACCAGTACAGGCAGTAGAGGGGTACACTGTCTGTACAGAACTCAAATATAGTAATATATCTTATGCATATGCAACCTACATTTTAATATCACCGTACACTAGCAATTCTAAGCAATGTCCGTGATAAATTCTTTCCCACTCTACTACCTCCTGCCCTTGCTAAGCTACTGTTTTTTTGTATTTCTGTTTCTCCTGCTCCCAGCCCCCAACCTTTTAATTGCCCACCACTGTGAAACTATTTTAGAAATAGCAAAGTGTGTTGTCTACAATAGAATAATTTCACAGAAATAGATGATAAAATTTTGTTCCTACAAAAGTTTCTAAGTTTCGAAGAAAAGTTATATGTTTCAAGAGAAAATTACTAGTACATCATCAGGAGGAAAATATTTAAAGTTGTTTTCCTACTATTAATAATAGTTTTGCAAAAATTCATTGCTGTTGCATCACTCAGTTCTTTCAGTTTTCACTGTGTGTGGCTAAAAGTGCACACTGTAACCAAGCAACATAACTATGAAACTGCCCAATACCAATAGAGTGTCAATATTTGGCAAGATTAGTGCTAGTCCTGACGATGAGGCATACCTGAAGAGTTTCCTTTGACTTTGAAATGGAGAGCTCTGAAAAAATTTATCTGCAGCATAACAAACTGGCAATGAAATCACAATCATAAAGTATGTAACTAGATATCTCTAAGCTTTCCAAGTGTAGTTCTTTTTTTTTTTTTTTTCCAGATGGAGTTTTGCTCTTGCTGCCCAGGCTGGAGTGTAGTGGCGCAATCTCGGCTCACTGCAACCTCCGCCTCCTGGGATCAAGCGATTCTCCTGCCTCAGCCTCCCAAGTAGCTGGGATTACAGGCATGCGCCACCACGCCCAGATAACTGTTGTATTTGTAGTAGAGACGGAGTTTCACCATGTTGGCCAGGCTGGTCTCAAACTCCTGACCTCAGGTGATCCACCCGCCTCGGCCTCCCAAAGTGCTGGGATTACAGGCATGACCCACTACGCCCGGCCCAAGTATACATTTTAAACGTACAAAAATGAGAATCAAATCTTAACCAAATAAATGTTTATAACAGTCTTCTTAATATTCCTAAAAGTTTGTTTTCTAAACAAACTTTTCAGTTTCGATATGATAATGTTCCATGTGAAAATGAGTTCAGTTTTGATATGATAATGTTCCATGTGAAAATATTTATAGAAGGCAGAATGGCTTTGTTTTTATTAGATTTATCCCTACTCAGCACCACAGAGTTTAGCTTTCCACTGATTTGATGAATGAAAGTACTTGGGTGCCACAACAAAAAGCATTATAAAAAATTCTAGACATGTATATTCCATTTTCGAATAAGAAATGGGATTAAGGAAAAAAAAAACTTTATAGTGTTGCATGTTCTGGCCAGATGTGCTTCCTGAAGCAACATAGCAACATATCCAATGCAATGATGCCATTTTTTTTTTTTTTTTTTTAGAAGAGATCTTGCTCTGTTGCCAGGCTGGAGTGCAGTGGCATCATCATGGCTCACAGCAGCCTCAACCTCTTGGGTTTAACAATCCCCGCCCCTGCACCTTAGCCCACTGAGTAGCTGGGAGAACACACATGTGCCACCACACCCAACTATTATATTTTTTAGTTTTTATGGAGATGCGGGCACATTATATTGTCCAGGCTGGTCTCACACTCCTGGGCTCAAAAGATCCACCTGCCTCAGCCTCTCAAAGTGCTGGGATTACAGGTGTGAACCACCATGCCCAGGCTGCCACCAATTTTATAAAACTAAATTAAATGTTTTACAGAGTCATTTCAATTGTTCAAGTATTTTTAAGTAAAAAAAATAATCTGTATGGGGCCTGTTGATAAAGGAACTTACTGATATTGATCTAGCCTCCAAAATAAGTAGTATCAAGAAGCCCACTTTAGCCTTTAAGATTAGCTTATGATAGGTAGATAGCTCTTTAAAAATTTTTTTCAAACAAGTTTTAGATTTAGAGTTGAGTTTGGGTTGGAGCGAACAGGACTGTCTGGACTGAAAGAAGTATCCTGGGGTTATCCTCAAATAGAAATGAACTACAAGAAAGTGATTTTCATGGGCTTTGTAAATTTGAATACATACTTTTTTCTTCATATCTCTTATAACTAGGGCAATTACTACAACAATATGATGACAACAATACGATGAGCTTAGACGTATTAGAACTTTGAGATTTTTCAGAAAAATAATAGCTAGCATTTATTGAGGGTTAACTACATGAAATTCAGTTAACCCTCACAGCCACTCTATGAAATAATCATTGTTATTCATATTCCTATTTTACAGAAATGAAAACAGGTTATGCTAGCAAGAGGCAGATCTAGGATTTGAACTGTACAATTAATGCCAGAACCCAAATTCTTTGCCACTACTATACAATGCCTCAATTATCAGCAACCACTTCTTTGAAATTGGGCTGACTTTTTCGCAAACATTTATTCCTTATTGAATTTCTTATTCAATAAGGAAGTTACTGCCCACTTACTGTCTCTCCTATTACCTTCTCTCATACTCCCTTTCTCTTAAGATATGAAGAAAACAAGCTGTTTGTGCTTCTAATCTTGATTTTGCCCTTCCTCCAAGTAACTACAACGAAGATATAGAGTTCAGCTGAGACAAATTCGGTAGAGGCAATACAAAAGCATGTTTTCTTATTCCAGAAAGCCTGGTCCATCTGTTTTATCTGATGATTGCTGTGTGACTCGTGGAGAGAGTAAGATCGCAAATTGATAAAATCTGAGAGAGACAGATGTGAGGGTTTGCATTCCAGTTTGTCACATTCTGTATTTAAAGTTCTATTTGTTCATTAGGTTTTAATTTTGATAAGAAATTTGGGAGAAAAAAAGGGTAGAAAATCGTGCTCCAAATGGCCGTCTAATTAGTCTGTATTTATTCAATGGCCACTCTGTGTTCAGACCTATAAAAATATTTTAAAATTATGTCTCTTTGAATAAACAAATCATACAAATAAACAATTAAAATGACATCCAGGGAAATTAGTATAAGCTCACCTGGACTCGCTGGATGAGAGTTTGGCCTTTTTTCAAAGGATAAAAATGACAGTCTGTAGACCTCCAAGTTTCTAACACACTCAATTTTCTGATAAAAGCATAGACCAGGATTTCATGTTGACATGAAATTCTAGTGCCTTAGCAGGGACTCGGTGTGCAACAAAATTTGTGATCTGTTTTCCCCCTTCATCTGCCAATCAAAGAGATGTGGAAAACTTTATAGATATTTGTTCCTTAGTTACGGGGATGGGGAAGTGGAGTGTCATAACACTTGAGAGACATAGAGGACTAAAAGGCAGAAGAACCAAATTGAAATTTATGATTCTGTCTTCAGACACTTACAGTGTGAGCTGCTGGGGATATGGAAGTATATATTCTACAAGTCTGTAAAAGTGAATAAACCCAGTTCACAAATAATAATAATTGAAATAATTATCATGCTACCTAAGAAATTATCTTAGATTTCATAACAGTATGTAATTTGAAATGAATCTGACATTGTCCTTATTAATGATAATTGAAGTATTCAATGCCAAAGGTTGGAGATTACTAAATAATCTCCAATTTTAGGTAGACAATTGTATTCAAATTTTAATATCTAAAATTATTTTTAATAAGTAAAGACAAATAAAATAACTACAGGGATAAAAGTACAGAGTGTGATTAAAAATGATGACACCAAGGTCAATAATCCAGAAGAGACCATCAGTGTTTATTACACTATAACAAAGCTCCTTTATGAATATTATTCTTCTGTCTAGAAAATAAAACTTTTCACTATTTCAAATTATAGAATGTATCTCATACTCCAGAAAAAACACAGCACTGCTTATCAAAAAAAAAAAGATCTAAAAATTAGGTTTGTATTTCAGAGAATATTTGAATAAAAATTGGATTTGGGTTGATTTAGAATGCATCTGTCTCATCTGCTCACTGTGTACCTGAATCCATAAATCTGTCTACTGCAGCTAAACACAATATTTTACGGATTGAGACAATGAATGAAAAGTAACAAACTAACAATCTGGTTTCACAAACAATCAAGCTGGTATTTTCATGTAAATATCTACATCAATAATAACTAAACTAACGGAAGTGTATAATATTGAATACTACGAACCAGGCCTAAAAATAAGTTCCTTTGAAGGAAAAGATATTAAAAGGCTATGAAAACAATTTTGTTTAGTATTTAAATGTGTCTTTTCTTAACTCTGCATAATTTCTAATTGGATTCACGAGTAAAAAACCAACAACATTTTTATAATTTTTGATTCCATTATTTTTTTGTGAGAAGAAACAAGAAGAGATAAAATTTTAAATTGCAATTCAATAAGTTATTTCTGTGAATTTAATTGCAATGTTTGACTCTCAGCAAAATTGCTGAACAGTTCACAACAGTTGCCTGTTTCACACTCTTTCTCTATCCCTGTGCTCCCTTGCATCTGGTCTAAGAGAAATGTTTTACCAAATTAATGTAGAGGACAAAATAAATTCAAGAAAACTAAGTATTTGGATTAAGCAGAGCTAGCTAGAGAATCAATATAATTGTTGTTAATGATATCTTACATTGTAATTTTTCACCCTTTTGATGACGTCAAGCTTTACTTGTCAATTCAGATTCAACATGAGCATAACCCGACAGTGGAAAGGTTATGATAATTAGGCCCCTAAATTGATGCAGGGATAGTTTAACATACGCAATTCAATAAATGTGATACATCACATAAACAGAATTTAGAAAAACATACGATCATCTCAATAGATGCAGAAAAGGCATTTAATGAAATCCAGCATTGCTTTATGATAAAAATCCCTCAACAAAATAAGCATGCAAAGGACTTACCTCAAAGTAATAAAAGCCATATATGACAAGCCCACAGCCAAAAGCATACTGAATGGAGAAAAGTTGAAAGCATTCCCCCTGAGAATTGGATCAAGACAATAATGCCCACTTTCACCACTTCTATTCAACATAGTATTGGAAGTCCTACCCAGCGCAATCAGACAAGAGAAAGAAATAAAGTGCATCTAAATTGGAAGAGAGGATGTCAACCTGTTGCTGTTTGCCAGTGATATGACCGTATATCTAGAAATCCCTAAAAACTCATCTAAAAAGCTCCTAGATCTGATAAACGAATTCAGTAAAGTCTCAGGTTACAAAATCAATGTACACAACTCAGTAGCACTGCTGTACACTAACAGTGACAAGCTGAGAATCATATCAAGAACTCAATCCCTTTTACAACAGCTGCAAAAAAGAAAGAAAAGAAAATACCTAGGAATATGCTTCAGCAAGGAAGAAAAAGATCTCCACAAGAAAAACTACAAAACACTGCTGAAAGAAATCATAGATGACACAAACAAATGGAAACACATCCCATGCTCATGGATGGAAAGAATCAATATTGGGAAATGACCATACTGCCCAAAGCATTCTACAGACTCAAATGCAATTCCCATCAATACCAGCATTATTCTTGACAGAATGAGTAAACACTATCCTAAAAATCATATGGAACCAAAGAGAGAGCTCACATAGTTAAATAAACACTAAGCAAAAAGAACAAATCTGGAGGCATCACATCACCCAACTTCAGATTATACTACAAGGCTATAGTTACTAAAGCAGTATGGTACTGGTAAAATGTAGGCACATAGATCAAGGAACAGAACAGAGAACCGAGGTGTAAAGCCAAATAGAACTAACTGATCTTTGAGAGCGCATAAAAATAAAAACTGGGGAAAGAACACCCTATTCAATAAATGATACTGGGAAAACTGGCAAGCCACATGTAGAAGAATGGAACTGAACCTCCATTTCTCACCTAATACAAAAATCAACTCAAGATGGATCAAAGACTTAAATTGAAGACCTGAACCATAAGAATTCCAGAAGATAACATCAGAAAAACTCTCTGGACATTGGCTTAGGCAAAGAATTCATGACTAAGAACCCAAAACCAAATGCAACAAAAACAAAAGTAAACAAATCAGACCTAATTAAACCAAAAAGCTTCTGTACAGCCAAAGAAATAATCAGCAGAGTAAACAGACAACCCACACAGTGGGAGAAAATATATGCAAACAATGAATCTGACAAAGGACTGGTGTCCAGAATCTACAAGGAATGCAAACCAATCAGCAAGAAAAAAACAATGACCCCATCAAAAAGTGAGGAAGGACATGAATACACTGTTCTCAAAATAAGATATCCAAACAGCCAACAAACATATGAAAAAATGCTCAACATCACTAATTATCAGAGAAATGCAAATTAAAACCATGATGAGATACCACCTTATTCCTGCAAGAACAGCCATAATTAAAAAGTCAAAAAACAATAGATGTTAGCATGGATGTGGTGAAAAAGGAACACTTTTACACTGCTGGTGGGAATGCAAATTAGTACAACCACTATGGAAAACAGTATGGAGATTCCTTAAAGAACTAAAAGTAGAACCACCATTTCATTCAGCAATCCCACTACTGGGTATCTACCCAGAGGAAAAGAAGCCATTATATGAAAAAAACACTTGCACATACATGTTTATAGCAGCACAATTTCTAATTATAAATACATGTAACCAACCTATGTGCCCATCGACCAACAAGTAAACAAAGAAAGTGTGGTGTATATATATATATATATATATATATATATACACCATGGAATACTACTCAGTCATTAAAAGGAACAAAATAATGTCTTTTGCAGCAAATTGGGTGCAGGTGGAGGTATTTATTCTAAGTAAAGTAACTCTGGAATGCGAAACCAAATATCTTGTTCTCACTTATACGCAGAAGGTAAGCTATGGTAACACAAAGGCATAAGAATGATACAACGGACTTTGGGGATTTGAGGGGTGAAGTTTGGGAGGGTGGTGAGGGATTAAATACTACATATTGGATACAGTGTATATTGCTCAGGTGACAAGTGCACTAAAATCTCAAAAATCACCACTAAAGAACTTATCCATGCAACCAAAATCCACCTGTACCCCCCAAAAAACTATAAAGAAATAAGCCTGGAAGTCAGAAAAAAAAAGTTCCCTGAATTGATGATGCCACCTTAAGCCAGCAACAAAACCATCCACAAATGCAGCAATCAGTGCTCTTATCTTAGTATTTTAAGTTAAAAGTGAGGAGTTACTGTGATTCATTATAAAAACCAAATTAAATTCAGCAATTTGTTCCAATTACCTTGAAATATCATACTTATTATGTATTATGGAAGGGCATCTTTAAAAAAAAAAAGCTAAGTTTGATAATTCCACAAATCTTCAAATGTACTAATAAATATGCCCTCTAATGCATTAGTTTGGGTGGTTTGGTTGATGATAGCCCAAGGTTTTTGTTTATTTTATTCTTTTGCAGTGTCATCAGAGGGCATAATGGCCAGATGGGCTAACTTAAGAAGAGTCTCCCCTGAGGCATGCTGAAGATGAGCAGGATCAAAGACCAAGGTGTGAATATTGCAGAAGTTTAGCTGACTTGTTAAAAAAGGAATATAGCTCCAAACTACCTTTCTGTGTTTTTTCTTTAGTTGAAAATACACAATCCTTTATGGTGGAAGTGGGGGAAGAAGCAGGAGAAGACAAAAAGTTCTGAAAGGTCTGTTTCCAAAGACACAGCTGGTTTGACATGAGCTTTTACAGGAAACATGAAAATAGCTGATAAAAAGGTTTCACAGGTGAAAACTGACAAGGACTTATATCTATTAAATTAGTGAAAATGAAAAAGGAGGGGCACTATTCAGAAAGGGTAAGGATATGGTAAACATCCTGCACAGATTTGGGGAATATAAATTCTTAGAGTATTTTAGCATTACAATTTAGAAATATCTAACAAATTGTGAAATACGTATATCATTAAATCCAATAACATTATTTCTAGGAAGTAACTCTACAGATATGCTTGCATATCTATACACAAATGCACTAATGAAATGCATAAAATGCCATGTACCATGTATTTACATTGCAGCTTTGTTTATAATAAAAAATGTATGTCACTAAAGCATGTACTAACAGGAAATTTTTAAATTAAATGATGTACAATCATATAATGGAAAACTGTTTACAAAAAGGTAGTAGTGACATACTAGCATATACACACAATACATTTAATGAACAAAACATACAATGCAGTGTATTGCACATAGTGTGATCCCATGATTATAAAAAAATAGTAATAGCAGATGTTAGCTATTATCATACACAAATTACACCGAGAGTAAGTTGATAGGTTAGAGTAAGCCTTCTGTAAAAATGCAAACAATGATTTCAGAGTGAAGAAAAAATAAATAAGATGTCATTAGGTCATGGAAGAGCTGGAAGATTGAATTGAATTATATCCTTTTACAAATGGACTTCAGAATATCCAATTCATGTGAACTACAGGAAATTATAGTTTAGATATTTTAAATGATTTGCCTGTCACCGTATAACACAAGGGTGTCATGACCAAGCTAGATCTCTTTACCATATCATTAATAAAAGTCAAATTTTAAATTTGTGCCCAATTTGGCTGGGTGTGGTGGCTCATTCCTGTGATTCCAGCACTTTGGGAGGCCGAGAAGGGCAGATCACTCGAGGCCAGGAGTTCAAGACCAGCATGGCCAACATAACGAAACCCCTCTCTACTAAAAATGCAAAAATTAGCTGGGCGTGGTGGCACATGCCTGTAATCCCAGCTACTCGGGAGGCTGAGGCATGAGGATTGCTTGAACCCAGGAGGCAGAGGTTGCAGTGTTGCCAGCCTGGGCAACAGAGTTAAGATTGTCTCAGGAAAAAAAAAAAAAAAAAGAAAGAAAGAAATTGTGCCAATTGCTCTTAAGAAGTCCTTCAGGGCAAAGATATATAAATACATTTAAAGATACATAATACAATGATTATTATTGCTAGTTGATTTGGATTCCACTATCCAAAAGAATAAGTTAATATCCCTGTATTTTACTTATAAACATTATATTGTGGTGAATAATAGTTAAATGTATAACTGTAATATATTTTAAGGACATTACATACATTTATAATATGTCTTTGTATAAAAACAACGGAATATATGCAAATAATATTTTTTCATATCCTTTACAAATAATAAAGTTTTATAGAAATTATCTTAGGTCTAGTTAGATTAATTATGTTGTGAAACTTAAACTATATTTCCCCAGGCCCCATTTGTAAATCAGAACTGGGTTCTTTTTTTTGAGACAGAGTCTTGCTGTCGCCCAGGCTGGAGTGCAGTGGTGCGATCTTGGCTCACTGCAAGCTCCACCTCCCCAGAACTGGGTTCTTATAAAAGCCTCAAGAAGCCAGGATTGGGGCAAACTGTACCCCATAAGTTGGGGCTCCACTTATAGAATAACTAGCATTTCTTCCTGCACAGGCAGTGCTATAAGTAGGAAGTGTGCAGCTAAGGAAAAGAATCCTAAGGTTTGTAAGCAACAGAAAAATATGACAAGTGTGATAGAGTTAAGACTGTCATTGCTTCAGGTACTATAGAATGCCATTTGCTCTGATTAGCCCTAAGAATTTTCAGCAGGAGAATGAGAGCAAACAATAAATGTGATTTATTGGTACCAGATTCTGAGAATGTTTTATACTGATAGACTCACACCCAAATATTGCTAGATTTGCACCGCTGACCGAACGTACTGGATATCTGTTATATATACACATACATATTCTTCACATGCTCATAAAGCAAAACAAAAAAACAAGACAAAAACTGAAAGAAATTTATAACATTTCAATACCACAAATCAGTATTTCTACATGTAAAATATAACCAGATATATCAAGTAATTTTTTTTTAAGTTATAAAGAAGGTGCTAAGGGATATCCATTTACTTACCTTATTTCTTTATCAACTATTGATGGCAGCAGCTGCTCCAGACAGCCTTACGCTGCCATCACGCTGGCTGCAGCAAGGAGGCACAGCCGGGGCTGCATGCTCCGGGGAGCGTGTGGGAGCCAGGGACAAGTGGGAGCTCTGCCTTTTCCGAGTTGGGGTAGGAGCTCCCCAGGTGCACTGCAGTCATCCAAGCCACGGCTACAGACTCAGACCTCCCAGGCCACTCCTGCTCCATGGAGCAGGCAGGAGCTGCCCCCTCGCATTTCCCCACACAGCTGCAGTTGCCCAAACCACAGCTGCAAGCTCAGGCATCCCTGTACCCTTGGGGGCCCAGGAAGAGCTCCTGCCCTCACAGGCTCAGAAGTGCCTACTCCCACTGCCTGGCTTCTCCCTGCTGTTGGCTTCCGCTCTAATCTTGGAGCAAAGTCAGTGCTGAGCCCAGGTGCCAAGAAGAGCAGCAGGAGGCAGACAGATTCCTGGGCCGATGGGATGGATGCCTGGTAAGGATGGGGTTGACCAGCAGCAGAAAGGAGCTACCCACTCTAGGGCCTCCTTTCTGCTGAGCACTTTAGAGACTTGCAGGGACATCAGGACTGCCAGCTGCAGAAAGGAGCAACCCACTCCAGGCCCTTCTGTCTGCTAGGAGCTGGGGAGATGATGAGAGGGCCTGCCTGCAGAGAAGAGCAACCCACTCCAAGGCCTCCTATCTGGGAGATCTGGGAAGATGATAGGACAACCTGCCTGCAGAGAGGAGCTTCCCACTCCAGGGTCCCCTCTCTGCTAGGAGCTAAACACTAGGGGCGCCCTGGCTGCAAAAAGGAGCTACCCCCTGAGGGTCTCCTGTAAGCAGTTCTATTGCTCAATAAAACTCCTCTTCATCTTGGCTCACCCTTCATTTTCTGCATACCTCATTCTTCCTGGCTATAGGAGAAGAACTTGGGACCTGCCAACTGGCGGAGCTAAACAAACTACAACACAAGCAGGGCTGAAACCTGCCCATTGCTCACCATGTTGCAGGCATAGAGAAGGAGAGAATAGCTGTGGCCCCTGGGGGAGCCCAGACCTGGGAGCTCCCTGAGCCAGGGATGTGACTTCCTTTTTGGTGTCCTGCAGTGCCTAGCATCTTCAAGCTTTCGGGTGCCACTGAATTCCCCGGTGCCAGCCAGGGAAGCTGCTTGTGGTGCGTCTGGTCCAGCCATAGCCTTGCGGAGAGCTGGTACCTATGCCAGCACCCTGAGCTGCCCACCCTGCTGCAGCAGCCAGCATGTCTGACTGCACAGTGGCTGGATCTCACGCTCACACACCCCTCACCACTTCATACCTGATTCACCCTTGGCAGGCGTGGGATGCAGGCTGGTAGCATGAGAAAAGTGCAGCCTGCTAGGCCAAGCGGATGGAACGAGCCCAGCAGGCCCTAGCAAACTCAGGAAAAGGTGCCACCGGCCAGAGGTTTCAGGCCAGAAAAAGCGGCACCCCAAAGATCCTGTAACACTATTACCTACAACTACTAAGGAGTTTTTACAGGAATAAAATATATTTTTATGACAAATTCAACATTCTATTTTCCTATCTTCTGAAAATAAAAATAGGCAAAGACATTGGAATACTAAGAGTTGGCAAACTTTTTTTTCTACTTTGTACTTTAACTTTATTGAAACAACCACTGTTGCTTCTTAGTCTGTGCAGCCACTTTGCATTTTGGATGCCCGTATATAGCAAAGAGTACTCATTTAAGTAGGTATTTTGCTTGTTTGTTTGCTTTGTATCCTTAATTAAGAGCAACAAGAGGCAAGCTCTCTGGGTTTTGTGAAGCTATCTTTGTTCCCTTGGTCCCCCCACTCCCTCAACCCCTTCTTCAACCTGAGGACATTCTATCAGTGTCTTTATGGGGTGGCAGGGGGCTGTTGCTGAATCATAATTAGGAAGAGGTTTACGTGAGTGATATCTCTGACTGTTATTCATCATGAAGTTACTAAACACATTCAAATTTGCTTCACTCCACTTTTGCGTATTGAAAATACAAGGTGAAGGAAAATAGAATGTGTAGACATTTTATACTGCAAGACAACCAATGCTTTTTTTAAATCTCTGGGGATGATATGGTCTGGCTCTGTGTCCTCACCCAAATCTCATCTCAAATTGTAATCCCCACAATCCCCCTGTGTCGAGGGAGGGATTTGGTGGGAGGTGATTGGATCATGGGGGCAGTTTCCCCCATGCTGTTCTCATGATAGTAAGTGAGTTCTCATGAGATCTGATGGTTTTACAAGTGTTTGACAGGTCCTCCTTCACATGCACTCTCTCGCCTGCTGCCATGTAAGACACGCCTTGCTTCCCCTGTGCCATCGGTCATCCGCCATGATTATAAGTCTCCTAAGGCCTCCCCAGACATGAGGAACTGTGAGTCAATTAAACCTCTTTCCTTTATAAATTACCCAGTTCGGGGTAGTTTCTTTATAGCAGTGTGAGAACAGACTAATACAGGGGATGCTTGGTAAGGTTAAGAAAAGGAAGAAATAGGTTAAAATGAGAAGCAAAATTGAAAATACTTCCCTATTTATGAGGGTGTAAGAACTTATAGTACATTACCAACACAGGATCTGTCTGGGTTTTGAAAAATTTCAAAATTGGTTACAACTATTTTTTTTTTCCTGAAATGTATTCCTGTCTGAGAGCTGTGGGACCAACTAAATGACTACACCATCCATTTCTGCATTCTGATTTTATGACAAGGCACATTCCTTTAATATTCTTAACCTAGTATATACATTTAAATCAGGCCCTGAAGCTTTTCACCTATATTACAAATAATAAATAGTACATGTAAAATGTCCTATGTATTAGGCAAACAAAAACATCCTATGAAAGTGAACATAATAGCCATATCTACAACTATTAATCATACAATATTTTCTTTTGGTTAAAGTTACAATTTGCCCCAAAAGTAATAGCTCTAGGTATGTACGTTTTTTCTTTATATCTGAAACAGAAGTCTAATAGGCTTGCCATCAAAATATAATAAAGGTGATCATTTCAGTGCCAGGTACCTCGTGGTAGCGCTTGTTACACAAATTTTAGGAAATGCCTAAGCAACGAAACAATTTGAGAGAATTACTTACCCTCCCTTAATGTAGTCAAGGAATGAAACTTCTGTTTCTACCAAGAAAGAGAGTAAAGTTACCTGAAAAAGAAAAAGACAGAATTACCTTCTAGTTGTTTGTGACCCCAAATAGACCTTTCTAATTATTAGAGAGAAAATCATATTTCTTTGCATTTTGAAACTCACTAAAGATATTATTTTTTATTAACATCTGCTAGGACTGATTGTTCTTACATTTTAAATTATCTGAAGGAAAGGGACCAAAAAAATTAACCAATGTCTTTCTATGACCAGTTTACTTCCTTTGAAGACCAGCATGAAAATTATCTACAAGGACATTGTGTTACTTCCCATTTTAGATAAAAGGAAAGATGAAAGGGAGTTGGAAAATGGTTAAAACCAAAAAACCAAAATCAGTGAGCAAAGCCTTCAAGAGGAAATGTGTGTTTTCAGTCAGGATTCTGTAACGAGCTCATCTAATATTTTAACTGTCTTGCTTTATAGAGATCTTTAAAAGAAAATTGAGGGAAAAGTTAGATTTTGCTACTCCCCAAAAAAGTTTACCTTAAGAAAAAACTCTGCAGTATTTTTTCTTAAAATAGGATGATATTGATTTTTTTTATATTTTTTGATACATCTTTGCCTTCTGTACTGATTTAGTACACCATTCCCACAGAGTTGTCAATTTTACTGAGCACATACACATCCCACGAAACGAGTCTTACTTATTAAGTATAGCCTATAAAGAGTATAGTATTTCTTACTACCACTTGTGTTTTTTACATCTGCCTGATTCATTATACTTGGATTCCACTGAATGAAGAGTTCATAACAAAACTTCAGCCTCTCTCAGAGGCCTTGCAGCCCCTAGGATAATCTACAAGAAGCCAAGTCACTACCTTCTATAAGGTATTCTTGATTACAATCTGTCCCCTGAGAAGTTGATTTTTCTATTGTGTTCCTTCATATTAAAACCCTGAGTGAAACACAGCTCAGTTTTTTTAATTGCTTCCAGTAGGATTAAAGATGCCATCTACATATATGCTTATTCATTTATTTTAATCTTTAATAAATAACATAAAATTTGACTTACTGTTCCAGAATTAGTATATTTTTTCTTTTTTCCTTTCTTTTTGGGATTCACCACCTTAAAAAGCAGATAAAACAATTAAAATGTGTTAGGTTTTATACCGAAGTTTTATATTGAATTTTTAAAAATGTGAAGTTTAACCTGCTGCCTTCCCTTCTTATGCATGTATTCATTTACAAATGCTTTCAGTATGACTTTGGACAGTCATTCAGTCAAAACTTCTCTGCAAAAGTTAATAGTGACTATCTTTTAAAAATGTTTTGTCTGTAATATTCTTCTCACCTGTACATATTGATTACCCTTAACTATGGTCACGTTCTTGATATGATAGAGACCTTTAACATCTAATGTCCTAACTAATGATTGCTTTATAGAAAAATGATGGGTTGTTAAAGAATATTCAAGTGACATAACTTTAAAAATTAAATACACTAACATAGCAAATCATCCAATGTGTGAATATTTAAAGGATCTATTGACCTCACTATTGCTTTATAATGTTAGTAATTTCCACCAGTTTCCCATGCTACATAATAATTGGTAAAGGTCTGCTTTGTAGACATAAGATTGGCCTTTCGACTATTTGATCCATAAGTAAATAAGATTGCACCTCTATATTTCATAAGATATTAGGGGATATAGGGAATATTAAGATAAATAAGACCTGCCGATCTAATGGGATAAACGTAATACATAATTGCCTGAGGAGAGACTTCTTCAGATCATCTCAATCCAAAATATGGAGAAAGCCTTTGACAGGAAAAAAAGATGAAATCGTTTATGAATAAGTATTATTTGAACCACAATTTATTAACTTAAACTAAGGCTTCAATTTAAAATAAATAAATAAACACACCATTCTAGAAAGAAGAAAAAGCAACTGACCCAGGTTGGCTGGGGCAGAGAGCCCACACAACCGGATCAGAAGTGAATCTGAAAAAATAAGCTGAGGCATGTTAGGGAGATCCTTAATCTTGGCCAGGGAGTTTGGGTGTTAATTTAGTTGATGTTTAAATAGGAGAATGATATAATAGGTCTACAGCAGCAGTCCTCAACCTTTTTGGCACCAGGGTCTGGTTTCATGGAAGACAGTTTCCCCACAGATGGGGGTGGGGAGGATGGTTTCGGGATGATACTGTTCTACCTCAGATCATTAGGCATTAGATTCTTATAAGGAGCACACAGGAGGCAGAGCTCAGGCAGTAATGCTCCCTTGCTTGCGGCTCACCTCATGCTGTGTGGCCCAGTTCCTAAAAGTCCACAGGCCTGTACTAGGCTGTGTCCTGAGGGTTGGGGACCCCTGGTCTACAGGATAGAGTTGTAAGGGGAGAAAATGAAGGCAACAGTTAGGGTCCTATTTTTAAATTTTCTATGCAAGAAGTAATGAATCATTAAATAAGGAAGCCCCATTAAAAACGGCTCACCAAAAAAAAAAACAAAACTTTAAGACAACAGAATAAAGTACGTTTTTCAGATTTAAGTAGAAAATCTAAAGGAGAAATTGGTCATCCATTCATTCATTCCACGTATTATTTATTGTGTATTTCAGAAAGCCCTAATTGAACAAATTCTACAGGAAAACATGCACCAGTAAGGATGTTGGGCGTCACTGGCAAGATCACAAATTTTTCAGATGGTTCAATGGTTATTCTATTAAATATGGAGCAGGTTGTTTGGAGGAGAAAGGTAATGTTTGATCTTGAGATTTGAAGAATTCCGCAATTCTTCCAGATAATTTGAGGAACAAGCACTCTGAACAATATATAGGAAATCAATGAATAAAATTAATTCAATCAAAAGTTTGAAAATAAAAAGTTCAGTGATACATTTTTCTCGAAAAACCATATTTCAGCATTTTTCCACCTACAAATCATTAATCTAGCATTATGCCTTTGGTTTAGAAGAGGTTTTTCCTAAATTTTAGGAGTAACTTTTTAGTAGAATTTCATAAGCATCTTTCAGTTCATATGAGTCTTTTTGCTGTCAGCACATCATAATGCACTATTGTCACAGAAAAATTACCTCATGATTTGGTTTTAAATTACATAATTAAATTTAATTGCATAAAGATGTTTTCATTTAATCATATAGGACCATTTCAATTGCCAATAATACATCCGATGTAACAATAATAAAGTTATGTAATATATAAATACAGTAGCATCCGTCACTTCTAAAACTAAATAATGGACTAGGGAAGTCACTTTAGAATGATAGAGTAAGGCCCTCTGCAAAGTTGCTTGTCCATAAAGACAATGAGAACACTAGCAAAAATTGTCAAAATCAAATTTTTTCATGAATCTGGAAATTAATCAAAGGCTTGCAAAAATCAGTGATCACTCATTCAAGACAAAGAGTAAATCTCACTATGTCATTTTAACTTGCTTTACTGCAATCCTACTTTTCCCAGCTCTGTATGTAGCAGCATTGAAAACCGTCAGCCTAGCAACTACAGTGGCTGTGTAAACCAACAGTTTAAAAGCCATTGGAGGGGACAGAATGGGTATAAAGTTCTTCAAAAAGTGTTTCAGGTAATGAATATGGTAATTATCCTGATTTGATCATTACACAATGTATATATGTATTGAAACACCACACTGTACACCATTAGTATTTACAATTAACATGTGTCAATTAAAAACAAAACTTAAAAAAAATGTGTCTTTTCTAGAGAATTGTCATTAACTGACTTATATGGAAGCTTTCTGGAAAAGCTCCATTCATAGGGCTTGGGCTTGTCATTATTTGACTTAACTCAAAGCCTGCTCAGAGGGAAATGCCCTATCTCCAGGACATTTGTTGAAAGTAGTCAGTTGCAGGTGTTTAACAGCGTATCTGCTGGAGGTGATGATATAATCTGAGGCAAGTAAGAGGCTAACTCAAAAACCAAAAAGGAAGATCTAGAGAATGAGATGCTTATCGGGGGCTTTTAAAAGCTCTGGCATATTGCTGGAAATCTAGAAGCCCATGCCCTTTGAAGGGGTGTACACATGCCCAAGGAAGATCTAGGGAATTCTTATCTCCGTCCAACCTCAAGTCTCTGCTCAAACAACAAGTGAAAGCTAAGGCAGGACTTTACGTTGTTGGAGCATATAAGGAGTGCCCAAATGTATACAAATCTCTGTCAAAATATCTGCTGATCACGGAGCTAACCAAGCAAAGACTTCAGCAGCCCACATGACAAAGAATAACAATTTTATAGAATTAGTCCATGAAAATCACTGAACAAAGAGCAAAAAACACAAACTTTGGAGAAGCTGGAGGATCTGATTTCCAATGTGCTGCATTATATTATTTAAAGTTTCCAGCATTCAACAACAACAAAAATAAGATATGCAAAGAAACAGGAAAGTATAGCCCACACTTTTCTATACATAGAAGAAAGAAGTCGACAGAAATTGTCCCTGGGGACTTGCAGATATGGGATTTATTAAACAAAATCTTTAAATCAGCTATTACAAATATATTGAAAGAAGGAAATCATGCGTAAAGGATGAAAGTATGAAACAGTTCCTTACCTAACAGAAAATATCAAAAATGAATCAAAATTACATAAAAAGGAGCCAAACAAGAATTCTCAACTTGTAAAGTACAACTGAAATGAAAAATTCACCAGAAGGGTTCGACGGAACATTTGAGCTGGCAGAAGAAATAATCAGTAATTTTGAAGATTTGTCAACTGAGATTTTCCTGTTTGAGGAACGAAACAAAAAAAGAAAAACAAAACAAAACAAACAAACAAACAAAAACAAAAAAACAGAGCCTAAGAGAACCATGGGACACCATTAAGCATAACAACATAAGTAGAATGGTAGTACCAAAAAGAGAGAGGAGAAAGAGAAAGTGGCAGAAATAATTATATGAAGAACTAATGGCTGGAAATTTTTTTGGTTGCTTGATAAACCTGAATCCCTTGCACAAGTGCAGATAATAAAGTTTGTAATGTATTGGACCCAAGATTGTCCATTGAACTCCTAAAATTACTTGTACATAATTCATAATGGTCTCCTAGATTTTCTTCAGACTGATCTCTTCTTTTGAAAATATGCATAATAAGAAAACATTTATATTTGAAGTCATGGCCTTACAGGGTATTTAAGAACACATAAACATTATTAAGCTTCTTTGTCATCTCATCAGATGTGGCACCAGTCTTGTCAGTTAGCAAGCTTTATTGGACAAGAGAGTCTGGGGACTGACTGAAACCAGTGATGAGAAAATGCTACAAAAGCTAGAGAAACTAAAAGTGGTTAATCTCTGGAGTATTATATGCTGACTAGCAGTAGATGATGCCTAAGTACAAGGAGAACTAGTGTGCATGTGTGGTTCTTCCTCAGCCTTGATGTTAGGCAGACAAAATAGGTATTTACGTAATTACAACCTGTCTTATATGATTTATTTCCTGTTTAGAACCTAAATATTCTTTCCTTGAAAGACCCAGCTAAACTAATGCATAATCTTTGTCTCTTTCTGACTGAGAAATTTTCTTGAGCTGAGTTTGGCCCCTCTGTAATAATTTCATAGAGCACTAAGTATACTACTATATAGAGCACATATCTATCTACACAAAACATATTTTATATCTGTCTCTCCCATTAGGTACTGAAATTTATATTCACCTCTGTATCCCCAGGGCCTAACATAGAACATAAAATATAGAAACTACTTAAAAAATTGTTTTGTGAATGAATAAATAAATGCTGGAATAAAGTGGTAGAAGGAGATTTCTCACTCTCTACTTAACAGAGGCCAATTTTAGCATCAACCTGGAAGGGAAGTATTACCATTCTTGATTAAATACTGAGATATTCTCCTTTGGTATCCACATACGTTAAATTTTAAAGTTAAAGGAAATGTACAGATGCCATAGCTCAAGGAATAACAGTGCTAGAACATACTATATGCTCAATACATATTTGGTGATTAACTGGCACAGTGGTGTTAGGCAGAAATAACTACAATGTGTCTGCTTTAACAACGTGGATTTCTTTAATGGCTGCATATTACCTTGTCATTCCCTTCAGTCTCCACCTAAACGGTAGTGAAGGTGCTCAGATATATATGCAGACCACAGCTCATTTTATAACGCCACACTGACACCACAAAAATGCTAATCTTCTTCTTTATTAGGAAGAGATGGAAGAGGAGGTTGGTAAAAAGGCAAAACATAAAGGCTGAAGCTTAAGAAACAATAAACTTATATCCATATTTTTAAAGTAAAATGCTTTATACACAAGAATTAAAAATCAAAAACATTTAAATGTGACTTGAAGAAGTAATATCATTGAATCTAAAAATGTCTGCTCAACAACTTCAAAGATTCTTACATACACTGATACTTAGTTAACCTTTGGCAATTATGCTTTGCAGAATCCACACTTTTAAAGCACAGATTTATTTATTCTAGAAAAAAACAATGGTAAAATAAAATGCCTCTTACCTCATATACGTTGAATTGTGACTGCCCTCTAGAAAGTTCCCTATAGCTTGTTGTAAATTCTCCAATGAAATCATGACTAAAATTAAAGGAAAAAAGTACATAATATTGGCTTTCATATATTTGTCAACTGTATTTTAAAGTTTTTAGAAAGGTTTAATCATTATCAAAAAAATGCTTGATATTATTATGAATATAAATTAATAATTTACAAAATATTTAAAAGGACTAATACATAATTACATTGTTCATTAATCTAAAATTATGTATGCCGGACAATTTCATTAATATTCAAATGTTTAATTTATTCCACCAATATTAACATTTCAAACAGGTATACTAGTTTTGATAACACATTTCTCAAAACTGTTAAATCATCTATTATTCAAATGATTAATTAACTAGGATGAAAGTTAGAGACTACACTAATAAATTTATTATTGTCCATATCTATGGATATATATTTTTAAAATATAATAATTTAAGAATCTTCAAACTTTCCTATGGCCAGAGTGTAATAGGATGCTATTTTAAAAAGTTATAACATATTAATATGTGTAATAGTCACTACACTTTTTTTCTATAATAGTTAATAAATATTTTATCAATAACAACATGTTAATTCAGAATTTCTGCACCTTGAAGTAATCATCACTACCTTCTCAGGTGTCTTCTCAGTTTAGGTGAGGAGGGGTAAGGATTGAGTAAACATGTATTAGTTCTAACTAAAAAGCTTTCATCAACTGAGGTTGACCTGTGCAACTACAAAAACATGCTAAACATTCAGCAATCTAGAGCAGACTCATATTCTACCCCTTTGAGTTAATTTAATGGCCAGTGCTAAGTTGAACACACACTGCTGAGAAGTAAGTACAAACTGCTGGTATTCAGTGCAATGGTGAAATGTAGCACGTTAGAAGAATATACAGATTGTAGGAGTGAAAGCAATATAACAAACATAAGGGATGTCACAGTAGCCATTTGTATAATAGAATTTAAGCTCTGCCAATTTGTTTTGCAAATGCAAGCTATTCCTTGCCATAAAACTGAATCGCTTAAAATCCATGAAACTTTTATGGACCTTGCAATCAGTAACAAGCAACATACAAGTGGTGTTTAACCAATGAAAATACCAGTTTTTAAAGACAGGATGTGGAGGGGTAAAAATGTTATCTGCCCTTAATTTTAGTAGAGTTTTTGCAATAAAAAAATGTTTTTAAAGAACTTATTTGAGAAAAAACTTACTTAGGTATCCAGTCCTTTATTCTCCCTAAACTATCTTGTATATACTAATATTTCATGGTATTTTATGTGAAACATTACTCTTTATATCAATAGCATTTTGACCTCTTCTAGATTTAAATTTCAGAAGCAGATTAATATGAATATGTTAATAGCAAAAAGAATTGTAGGCTCTGATATATTCCTATTTATGAACCCAAACTTCTAGAACTCACTTTCAAGTTACCCAGGGAAAAATCACAAAACAGCACTTTAGTGTTACACACTACTTTTGGATTAGTACAATTCGTATGAAATCCGGTAACATTGGTTTAATCAGAACACATAAAATAATTCTCTTTGACCTTCAAAAGTGCAAGTATATACTCATGATTTATTTCACTGCACTCTTAAAATTTTCTGAATTATGAAGGTTTTTTTTTAGAATCCATCCTCCTCCATTGCTATGCAAGTTTCAGATATCTTAATAACCACTGAGATAAAAGGTTCTATTAGAGCACTTCAAACACAACGCTTTGATATCGATAGTTGTAGAGGAGGCTTATATAAACAGAGCTCACCACAGCAGTGGTGGGAACCTAACATAGGGGCCTTAAAAATGCCTGAATCACTTAAGCCCTTGTGATCATTTTCTGACTGTGCTAAACTTACCCATGCTTGGTTAATTATCTCAATCCAATGTTCAACTCTTAATTGTTAACACTTAATTTCCGCCACACAATGCTTATCAAAAACATGGCAGAAAGAAGTGATAATTCACTGGTCTTGAGTAAATCCAATTTCTCCTCCATCTGGATAAAGTCAGTCTGACAGAATAACAAATCCCGACCCAACTGCAATGGTCAGGTTTGCCAAACTACACATTGACTTGCCTGTGTTGAAGTCATTGGGGAACTTTGAAGCAGTTCTTTGATATTTGGTTCTCTTTTGTTCTAGTTAAATTTGTAAGCCTCTACAGAATTGAGCAGTGAACAACAGGTCTACGACAATCTCTTTGGTCTCAGGACTAGGAATCTGTGTTTTTGTGCTGCCCACTTATATTTTCTGTTCTGAAAGGACCCTTTTTATCATGAAAGGGAGAAAGCTTTCTCCTCTGCATTAGTGGTTAGAGAGCTTACAGCTAAAGTCTCTAGCAAGACATGTCTTCATGACATACTGTCCTCTGCAGACTTTTCAGATTTCTCACCCTATATTACTCCTTTGTTTCAATGTCCCCAGCCAATTTAGTTTACTCTCATATTACAAGCATCTCTATAAGCTGCCTTGGATCCTTTTCAGAATAAGATAGAACATACATAAATGAAACAATGAATAAAATATTAGTCCTCCTTTCTAAATCTTGTTCAAGATGATTATTTTGAACAAAACACTGAATTTGCATGTCATGTAAATGCAATGCTATCCATGTGTTGTAGAGGAGAAAGTATGTTGATCACATATTGCATTTCAGCCTCCAACATAACATTTCTGTAAGACTAAGAAAACATATTATTGCATCCATTCAGCATCTAGAGAAGTAGATGATCCAGCAGTGAGGATTTGCTAAAAGTCATAAACATAAGGCAGTATATGGAGATAAAAATAAAATAGCCAACCCAAGCTATAAGATGCATTGTCTCAAGAATATATCTGAAGAATCTGGGTAGATAAGTAGATAGATTCTCAGGCCAATTTTGTTATAGATCTCTTTTAATACATGGATATTTTTATACTTTCTAACCTTTGTAACCTGTCTGACTTCAAATACTATACATTAAATCACAGATACTTACTCTAAAGAGAATATTAAAGGTATTTTTCACTGATTTTTATTATATTTTACACTATTACCAACTATTCCTAGATTCTACTAAGATTAAAAGAAAAAATATAATGTGCATTAATATTTTATCTGTTCATGATGCTCAATACTGTAATACTGAAACAATTCTCACTATACAGAGAAACGTGACGAAAAATACTTTGATAATAAACCACAACCAATAATTTCCTTGTGATTCAATAATACTGTTTTGCTATTTCCTGTTAATATAATTATAACTAAAATAATTATTCTATGTTATAAGTTCCAAGCTCTCTGACTGCATTTACAAAATAAAGTTTACTCCAGTGCCATTTATCTGGCTTGTGTCTGTTTACGTCTCTATTTTTCCCCTACCTTTTATTACATGTATGTGTTATTTAAAGTCTGAGGGAATGAATTAAACACGTATTTTGAGCAAATTGATTACTACTGTAGCTAGTAATTTGGCTCTAAAAGTCCTTGAGTAAAGTGATTAAACTGTTGAATAAAATCTGTTCATTAAGATCATTTCTATGCTCCATTAATAGTGGGAAAACGGTATTATGCATAGTCACATTTATACCTGAAACCTGTAGGACAGTTTACAAACTTATCCATCTCCCTCTACTTTTGGGGTATTACTCCCTTATATCACTTATCTTTTACTCTACAGCTCAGCTATGATATCCTCCAAGAAGTCTTTTTTGCTTCATTCCCTTTTTTGCTCTCAAAAACATAAAACAAGCAAACAAATAACCAGTATCTCTCATCACAGTTCCTATATTATATTAAACCCATCAATTCATGTATTTCCTCTCTTCACCTATGTTTTGAAGGCAAGAAAGGTATTAACTTCATCTCAGGATTCCCAGCATCCCCCTCCGTACCTGCTACACAATGGGCACAGCTGAATTTTGCAAACACACTTAGGGCAATAGCACAGTCATACTGTGATCTTACCTTGCCAGTGATATTAACAAATTTGCCTCACATCAATTATATTCAGCCCCAAAGAATGGCACAAGTGCCAATCATATTAAACATATTAACCTTCTCTATCTCCTTAAAATAACTCTGAGAGTAATGCAGACAACTATGATTTTCCATGAAAATGTCCCCATGTAATTACAACAAAGGTATGGAAAAAAGAGAATATTGCCATTTTTGGCACATCTGAAGATTTTCCTGAAGGCCACCCTTCAATAGATAATGCTTATTTTCCTGACATTTATCTAGTTTTGCATATAATATGGACCAATGGCAAATACATACCTAACCCACCTCATCCCTTTCTCTACCACCATGTTGTCTTGAGTCAGTCAGTCAACCTCTGGGTCCTTAAGTCTTCACCTTAAAATTGGAGGTAATGCCTACTTTCTATTTCAAACATCAACCAGAGAATTCATTTAATTCTTTCTATGAAAAGTGTTTAACTTATCAAAAAGTCACTTCTAGAATACAATCTAATTATGAAGACTGTAACTCCAGACACTTATACATTTTGTCAATAAAGAAGCTTTAATCAAATTAATTTGTAAAGAAGTAATAGGCTTATGAATGGATGTGTGTTGTCTCATAATATTTTGGAGTTACACACGCATGTGGCTTGTGTTGTTCTCATGCAGGTATGCTTAATTCACAAGGCATGTCTCCCCTTTGGAGTACACCGCAGTGTAACATGTTTCAGATATGTATCAAAGGATATCTCAAATGAGAATTTGTAAACAAATTGTATGTGAAAGACAACTTCTCTAATTTGGATGCTGAAGGGATTTTGGAACAAAACTGGTATGATCTTTTCTCATGGGGAACAACACCCTTAGTTTTTGTCTCTCATTTGTACTTCAGCGCAGTGATTTCCCACATTTCCCTGTCTTGCAATTCTGTTCAAGTCCTGGAACACATATCAAGATTTTTGAAAACAGTGAGTTTGAAAATGGAGCAGTCACGAAAATGAAAGACCCCTTGGACTGAAATGTAGTTATGATGACCCTAATTAAACGCATGGGTTGCAGACATTTTTACTGTTTAAACAGTAAAAGAGGTTTAAATCTGTATTTGTGGGCAGAGGGCAGCAGAGTTTTTCAGAGGTGACTGGAACCAAGCCTTTAATTCCATGATTACAAGTAAAATGCACCATGAGACTTGTTTTCCTATCACCACAAAAAGCCATCTTCATAGGTCCAGATAACAACGTATTAGCTCTCTCTGATTTTGCTAACTTTCTTTGCTTTTGTTGTAGGCATAGTGTTTGACAAACTTCTCAGCATCTAAGAATGATTTCTTATACGATAACATCAACAACCTTCACTGATTCTTACAGAAAGTAGTTAAAACATCAACACAATCAAGCCTTTTTTTTCCTTTTAACTTCTTCAAATCCTGATAATCTAGTTTCTTAAAAAGGTAAGAAATATGACCTTTCAGTATTCCTAGATTATGAGCCAATCTCTGTCTAAATCTGCAGAACTAGCATGATTTTTAATTAATTGCCCCAGTAAACACAAACTATAAGCATATTTTGAGCAAAAATAATTTTTTCTTCATAAAGTCCTGGTTCATGTTTTTACTATTAATAGTATAAATTATTATATATAAGATATGTATCAATGTATTCAATGTAGAAGTGATCATTTATCTCCAGCTTTGCTGATATTTTAAATCATTTCAAAAGGGTTAAATTTCCTTTGCTCTCTATGTAGATTACAATAGTACTCTGGGCCTCCAAGAGGGAAATACATAGATAAAACCACTCTCATAAATTAAGAGTTCAGCAGGAGAACTAGGCTAATTTTATCAGTCTTAGCCACACCTGCTCATTAATCCATTTCTAATACAGATAGAATTTTTAAAAGATATAATTATCTTTTTATACATATATATAATAAGTTCTATTGCCCTGCTGGGTGTATATATGTGTGTGTGTGTGTTGTGTGTGTATTACACTTCTATAATTCTAAATTTTAGTATGTTAATATTTCATCTATTATGATTATTGAATATTTTATTAATTTTATTTTCACCTCTTGATTATATCCACACAAAGATACACGAAGACTAGAACAAATCACATTTTCTAAGATGAAGATAATATTTTTATTGTGGTTTACATTGGTAAAGCAAGTGCTATAAGCCATAGTTAAGGATATGTTATATATAATAATTTATCACATTTAAGCCAAAATTGTATGCCTGTTTAGTTACGCCAAATTATTTTTTAAAAAAAAGAATATATACATATTTTTAAGTATATTCATAATGTTAGATCATTTAAATTGCATGTGTATCTATTAGACATAATTTAAATTTTAACTCCACATGAAGTATACTTTTAAAATATAAACACCTTTAATTCAATTTCTATTGCTTCTAACAAGCTGAATGCACCAGAATATTGTCAAACAAAAGCTCCCCATTCAAATTAAAATTTGCCTACACAAATAGAAAGCATATGATAGTTAAGTCAAAAAATTCTTAACAGGAAATAACTTTTACCTAGCAACAGTTTCACAAATGTAACTTAATCTATTAAAAAGTAGAATGGAATTTATTTATCCAGTTATGACCTTGGATACTTATCTAGAATTATATAAATTAGAAACTTTACTGTGCTCATGTCTGAGGTTAAAATCTTGTCCAGTTTCACGGATTTTAAAATACTTATGTAACTCACATACTTTGTCTCTGTATGTGATTGAATTCATTTTTTAGCTTGAACGCTAATCTCTAGAAAAGGAAGTCTGTGTGACTCAGTGTCCTGTTTCAAGTTTAAACTATAGGCCAGTAAGTTGTAATTTTTTTCAGAGTAATGGGAATTAATAATAGTAATAACAATAATTATCATTATTATACGCAAAACAAAAAAGCAGCACTATTATAAAATGATGACATATTCAATGCTGAACAAAGACTGAAGTTAAAAAAAAATGTGCTACTAAATCTGTATTCTTGTATCTTTTTTTTATGTCATTGGTCAATGGCTAAATAAATGCAATTAAATGCCATCACCTACTTTCCCACATACTAGTAACAGATACTTTATTCAAGAACAAATATACACATATACTTCAGTCAAAAG
Organism: Homo sapiens; assembly: GCF_000001405.40. Taxonomy (NCBI): domain Eukaryota; kingdom Metazoa; phylum Chordata; class Mammalia; order Primates; family Hominidae; genus Homo; species Homo sapiens. The sequence goes on from NC_000012.12 coordinate 38,737,383, forward strand.
TAGACAAGACAAAATAAATTTGCAGTTCAAAAAATTTTACTTTAACTATATAGCACAGTAGTTCAAAAAATTTTACTTTATGTAGCATATACTTTTATAGCCTACTCATTTACATACTGGGATAATTCTGGGCCAATGCTAAATATAGATTAGTACTTTCTATTTTTTTACTTTTTTCACTCAAATTTGCCTGAGTTCATTAGGTAAAGTTCAATATAATCATCTCTCTAGATTTGCTATTATATTGCTACCTTTGTTTTTTCTCTGTCAGCCATCACTACCACATGTCATTGAAAGATAATAATTTCATCTTAATTTCTCTCACTTTTTCACAGAGATTAAACCTGGAACACAGAGAGTCCATAACTTTTTGAACCAAGGTTCATATTTTGATAAGAAAGCACAAAGAAAAAAAATCTGCCAGGAGTAACACATACTCATTCTCTCTCTCTCTCTCTCCTGCACAAACGTATACAACACAAAACCCCCAGCGTGAAGTAGCAAAAGTTGGCAAGTTGCACTCTAGAGTCCACTGCTACACAAGGGTAGGGTCTTTTCAATGGCGAATAGTCCCTTCTTTGCCTCTGGCATATCCTCTCTCTCTGTATTTCGGGACACCACTTCCCATAGTTGTGCCAGAGTTGCCAACAGGCATCATAATTGTTCTAGCTCCCTCGCCATTCTTGCTTGTGGAGCCGGCTACCAGTTTCCATGCTTTCTTTGGCCACCAGTCTACATACTGTTCATTATCTTCCTGACAGACTGAGGTACTCCAAAAAGGGCAACAAGGATCAACTGCAAAGGGTAAGTCACAAAGAGGAGATTAAAGTAAATTTGCTATTGAAATTCTTTCAAACATGGGGGGAAAATGCATTTTGGAAAACATCCTTTGATCATGTCAGGATTTTAGATTTAATAGTCTTACAAACCCCAAAAATATATGTCTACCCAGTACAAAGTTATGTAAATTGTTGCTGTTGTCATTTTCAATCAATCAATATGTAGAGACAATTTAGATAATTCAAGTCCCAAAAGCATTTATCCCAGCTCCCACCAAATTTGCCTAGAAGATTTGCCTCAAATAAATCAACTAATTCACAAATTTTGATTTTATTTTGTGCTGTATAGATAAGGGATTGTTAGTCAAAAAATGTACATTATGAAATTTTAAAAGACCATCCTACCACTTTAGTGACATTTTGAATTTAAAGCTGACAGTGTACTGTAATCCTTGACATCGATTTTATTTGACAACTCAGATCTTTCAGATTTGAAAGAATTTTCAGCCAGCGGGGGATTGGGTACACATTTTAATATTAACTTAAAAGTAATAACTCCTTATTACCATTCGGTATTTATGAAGTTCTCTTTGGACTCTTACATCATTACTTTTCTCACCTCTCAAAATTAAAATTTTTCTTTTCTTTTTTTTTTTTCTTTTTTTTTTTTGAGACAGGGTCTTGCTCTGTTGCCCATACTGGAATGCAGTGGCATGATCTTGGTTCACTGCAGCCTCCAACTCTCCAACACAAGGGATCCTCCTGCCTCAGCCTCCCAAGTAGCTGGGACCACAAGTGCATACCACCACACCCAGCTAATTTCTGTCTTTTCGTAGAGATGGGGTTTCACCATGTGGGCCAGGCTGGTGTCAAACTCCTAGGCTCAAGAGATCGCCTGCCTTGGCTTCCCAAAGTGCTTGGATTACAGGTGTGAGCTGCCACGCCCAGCCTAAAATTACTTTCTTAAATGATTTATGGGGAAACAAACTTCTTAGATTTTGTGATAGGCTTCAATAATGTCTTATATGGTTTTTGAAGAGTGTTACTTTATGAAAATGGTTTTAACAATATAAATGTTCTCAAAGCATTAAAATATGGAAATAGTATAGTTCACCTCATAAAAGACTTTTTATTAGAAGTCTGCATATGTTATATACTTTTTCAACCAAATGAGGCTCCCGGAAACTATGAAGTAAAATTTCAGAATTAATGAGTTCCCCAGAGACATTAAATCTAATAATTTAAAAAGTTGAGTGAGCTGCTGCTTAGATGGTATAATATCTGTATGTGGAAACTCTTCTTTAAAATATGCATAGTAGGTAACTTGTTCCTAAAACACATTATAAAAATCTTTGAATATTCTATGAAAATGAAAGGAATATCCTTGCCGTCCTGCAAAAATAATGTCTGGCTGTTGGTTCTACCTTTGGGTTCTACTGACTTTGGGTCACTTAGTAGGCTTTCTAATAATTTTTTTCACCCCCTCAAAACCATAAAATACCTTTTCCTATTCACTTTTTAAAAGTTGATATAATTAATTAGCGGATACCAAAATTTTGTTTTGGTTTCTTTGAAGAAAACTATTATCTTGGAAAATAAAAATGCAGCCCTAATCTCAATATATACTGAAATTAATTTTGGAGATTAAAATTTACATTTTAACATATGCATTCCAATGGCTTGATTCATTTAGTCTCTACTATGATATATTCAGAATTAGTTTGTGCTCTAAAGTAGATAAGATAAGGTAGACTCTACAATATGATAGACTCTTTCTACATATGTAATATCTTATTCTATACCTTTAGGAAACATAACACCAGGGATATGTTTAGATAATAATGGCTTCAAAGGGGCATTGTCAATGTGTGAAGACTTAAATATAAGGATATTTTTCTATAGATCTAAACAAAAATCCCACTGTGAATTCATTTTAAAACATAAATCTTCACATCCCTTGTAAGTTGGATTCCTAGGTATTTTATTCTCTTAGAAGCAATTGTGAATGGGAGTTCACTCATGATTTGGCTCTCTGTTTGTCTGTTATTGGTGTATAAGAATGCTTGTGATTTTTGCACATTGATTTTGAATCCTGAGACTTAGCTGAAGTTGCTTATCAGCTTAAGGAGATTTGGGGTTAAGACGATGAGGTTTTCTAGATATACAGTCATGTCATCTGCAAACAGGGACATTTGACTTCCTCTTTTCCTAATTGAATACTGTTTCTTTCTCCTGCCTGATTGCCGTGGCCAGAACTTCCAACACTATGTTGAATAGGAGTGGTGAGAGAGGGCATCCCTGTCTTGTGCCGGTTTTCAAAGGGAATGCTTCCAGTTTTTGCCCATTCAGTATGATATTGGCTGTGGGTTTGTCATAAATAGCTCTTACTATTTTGAGATACGTCCCATCAATACCTAATTGACAGTTTTTAGCATGAAGGACTGTTGAATTTTGTCAAAGGCCTTTTCTGCATCTATTGAGATAATCATGTGGTTTTTGTCTTTGGTTTTGTTTATATGCTGGATTACGTTTATTGATTTGCATATGTTGAACCAGCCTTGCATCCCAGGGATGAAGCCCACTTGATCATGGTGGATAAGCTTTTAGATGTGCTGCTAGATTTGGTTTGCCAGTATTTTACTGAGGATTTTTGCATCGATGTTCATCAGGGATATTGGTCTAAAATTCTCTTTTTTTGTTGTGTCTCTGCCAGGCTTTGGTATCAGGGTGAAGCTGGCCTCATAAAATGAGTTAGGGAGGATTTCCTCTTTTTCTATTGACTGGAATAGTTTCAGAAGGAATGGTACCAGCTCCTCCTTGAAGGACCTCTTCAGGGAGAACTACAAACCACTGCTCAATGAAGTAAAAGAGGACACAAACAAATGGAAGAACATTCCATGCTCATGGATAGGAAGAATCAATATCATGAAAATGGCCATACTGCCCAAGGTAATTTATAGATTCAATGCCATCCCCATCAAGCTACCAATGACTTTCTTCACAGAATTGGAAAAAACCACTTTAAAGTTCATATGGAACCAAAAAAGAGCCCGCATTCCCAAGTCAATCCTAAGCCAAAAGAACAAAGCTGGAGGCATCATGCTACCTGACTTCAAACTATACTACAAGGCTACAGTCACCAAAACAGCATGGTATTGGTACCAAAACAGAGATATAGACCAATGGAACAGAACAGAGCCCTCAGAATTAATACCACACATCTACAACCATCTGATCTTTGACAAACCTGACAAAAACAAGAAATGGGGAAAAGATTCCCTATTTAATAAATGTTGCTGGGAAACTGGCTAGCCATATGTAGAAAGCTGAAACTGGATCCCTTCCTTACACCTTATACAAAAATTAATTCAAGATGGATTAAAGACTTATATGTTAGACCTAAAACCATAAAAACTCTAGAAGAAAACCTAGGCAATACCATTCAGGACATAGGCATGGGCAAAGACTTCATGTTTAAAACACCAAAAGCAATGGCAACAAAAGCCAAAATTGACAAATGGGATCTAAAGAGCTTCTGCACAGCAAAAGAAACTACCATCAGAGTGAACAGGCAACCTACAGAATGGGAGAAAATTTTTGCAATCTTCTCATCTGACAAAGGGCTAATATCCAGAATCTACAAAGAACTCAAACAAATTTGCAAGAAAAAAAACAAACAACCCCATCAAAAAGTGGGCAAAGGATATGAACAGACACTTCTCAAAAGGAAACATTTATGCAGCCAACAGACACATGAAAAAATGCTCATCATCACTTGCCATCAGAGAAATGCAAATCAAAACCACAATGAGATACCATCTCACACCAGTTAGAATGGCGATCATTAAAAAGTCAGGAAACAACAGGTGCTGGAGAGGATGTGGAGAAATAGGAACACTTTTATACTGTTGGTGGGACTGTAAACTAGTCCAACCATTGTGGAAATCAGTGTGGCGATTCCTTAGGGATCTAGAACTAGAAATACCATTTGACCCAGCAATCCCATTACTGGGTATATACCCAAAGGATTATAAATCATGCCGCTATGAAGACACATGCACATACATGTATGTTTATTGCGGCACTATTCACAATAGCAAAGACTTGGAACCAACCCAAATGTCCATCAATGATAGACTGGATTAAGAAAATGTGGCACATATACACCACGGAATACTATGCAGCCATAAAAAATGATGAATTCATGTCCTTTGTAGGGACATGGTTCGAAGCTGGAAACCATCATTCTCAGCAAACTATCGTAAGGACAAAAAACCAAACACCGCATGTTCTCACTCACAGGTTGGAACTGAACAATGAGAACACTTGGATATAGGAAAGGGAACATCACACACTGGGTCCTGTTGTGGGGTGGAGGGAGTGGGGAGGGATAGCATTAGGAGATATACCTAATGTAAATGACGAGTTAATTTGTGCAGCACACCAACATGGCACATGTATAAATATATAACAAACCTGCACATTGTGCACATGTACCCTAGAACTTAAAATATAAATAAATAAATAAATAAATAAATAAATAAATAAATATAAAACATAAACCATAGGAAGAATGGCACATCAGAAATTTCTTCTGTTGTTTGCTATGTTTATTTTGTTCTATGTACAATACAATGTAAACTCTAAAATTATAGGTTAACAAGTTTGTGTCTCTGTCCTAGAGTTGTAATCATAGTATAATACAAGCAAAACCAGCAATATAAGTAGCATGATCCGTAAACATTTTTTCATGTTTATAATAGTTTATTTCATGTGTGCATCAATATAGAAATTTAGAATATTTGGTTTCTGAAGGAAAAAGTTGTCTAAATAATTCTAAAACCCTCCATAGCATAGCATACACAATAGTAATTAATATATTTCATTTGTACTTAACTAAATACACAATTTAACTGAAAATCTAAAATCTTACATTAATTTGATATTCTTAAAGATTATATCATAAATATTAATCATAGAATTATATCAAAAAAGCAAACCCGTTTATGACCTTATTTATTAGTCAGAAAGCATTTACTGAGTATTTCCTCTTCCTGAATTTCAATGCCAAATAATGATATTACAACCACTAAATATGAACATGAAATAGATTTAATAAAGTAGAAGAGAATGGGTTAGTCTCTTAAATTTCTTTGAAAATGTCAAAGTCGGTGAAATGCCAAAGATTTTATGTGGTATTTCTTTATATTAAAATGCTCTAATTTTTAGTGGCATAAATCTTAATGTAGACTATATTATCTGGTTAAAACTATAATGCAAAAATGATCCAAAATATTTTAAAAGATCTTATGCCACAAAAAAAGTATGGCTTCCCTTTGTAATGATGTGGATTATTGAGGCAATTACTTAGATCATTGAAATATACAATTACATATATATTTTAAATAAAACTATTTGAAGGCTTGATTTTCCTTCTCTCATATGTTGATACAAATTAAAAATTATGAGTATCTAAAACTACGTGCATAAGCAGGCTGGAACTAAGAATGTCACAGTTGAACTCCAGAGACTAAATTTTAAAAGCAATGACAAAATTCTTGATTTAGGGAGCAGAAAATCGAACTTCAGGCTATAAAGTAATATTTAGGGTACATTAGGAGATACATAACGTATCTCCAGTATACTGGAGAAGCGTTGTGTCAGTAATTCAATCAAAAAAATTTAAAATAAGTAAAAGCAGCACTGAAATGTATCTGAGTATTTATCAAAGCTGAATTTTTATTGGCAGTGACAATACACTACATGTCTTTGTTTCTGCCAGATGAACAACTATAAAATTTTCCTTTCCAGGCATGATTTGACTATGACATGAATAAATAGCTAAACATATTTTTGTTTGGTTTTAATTATCTCAGGTTGGATCTATTATAAGCAGCATCGAGTGTGAAAAGTTAAGTATCTGTGCTTTCAAGAAAAGATTCTGGACTTCTGAATATCAGAAGAAATAGCCGGTTTTCACATAAAGGGAACCAGAGTAAAACACAGAGAGGTCTTGGAAACATCTGTGTCTGTTGGGAAGCATGAACTAAACCTTACATAAGAAAGCACAATAGATTGAGGTTGGTGTAATCTGAAATATTTTCATTCTTCTGACATGAGGTAATCACGAATTCCAGTATTGTCTGGATTGTAACTATCTGCTAAGTTTACATTTGGGATTCTCCTCATCAAAACTAAAGAAAAGCTAATATTAGAATTTTAAATTCACCCATTCAAAATCTAAGTCCATTATATCGACCTCTATTCCCCCAACTGACAAGTCAGCAACGCCTTATTCTCCTGTTCCCATCAATAATACTATATATGTTTGTCAACTACATTTAGAATTTTAGAATTATGTTTTACATCAGTCTTCAATTAAAATAATGTGGCTGTTATAAACCCATAGATGTCATCTCTTTAACACTGGCCCTACTACCCAGCTTCATGTGCTGTGGAGAAATGAAAACTCATAAATGTGAAATCTGAAGGCTCCACATTCTGAAGCTGTCATCTAGGCAAACTTCGGCAAGAAGCTGAACTTCTATTCATTTATCAACAAAAGCAGAACAACCATAAGTTATGCATGCCTATCAGGATTTTGCAAAGATCAAATGGAAAAGGATGTAAAAAAAGTACTTTGTAAACTGAAAAGCTCTATGCATATTCAAAGTGTACTTCAGATGGCATTCATAACAGTGATTTTATTATTCTTTTTCTTACCTTTCCTACCAACCTAATATAGGTTTTCATTACTCTCCTAATGACCTCCATAATCTTGAACTAGTGCTTGCACTTCTGTATCTGATTCCAATTCATTCTACAGATATTTTCCCACACCTTTGGCCATGCCAAAATGTGCCTGATTCTGAGTCAGAAAGTTTCTCGGAGATTCCAAAATTTCAATGGGATTCAATACATACTATCCAGTCTGTCATTACAGGCCTTCCACCATATAATCTTGATCTACCTTTCTATGTCTGCATTTCTCATGAATTCCCTCTAATACATTATAACGTACTCAGAACCACATGGCCAAAGCAGAACTCTTCACCCACAATATCCATCCTTTTTTGATTCCTACACTCCTTTCAGATAAATCACATATCATACTTTATTATGAACACATCTGGGATACTTCAACACAGATGTGAACTTATCCTTTCCTGAAATGCAGCATCACATTATACCTCTCTCAGGAAACATCCATGCTTTGCCTGGTATTTTGTTCCTGGAATTTTATTGCATTCTTGGCAGGAACATACCCTTCTTCAATCCATGGGCTGGATAGCAATCATCTTTAAATTCCCCTGCAGTAACTAGTGTAGTGACCCATACCTAATAGATGTTCAGAAAACATTTGTTAAAACATAACCAAGTGAGGTTACTAAGTTTGTTTGAGACAGGGTCTCCCTCTGTCTCCCAGGCTGGAGTGCAGTGGTGTGATCACAGCTCATTGCAGCCTGGACCTAATGGGCTCAAGCGATCCTCCCACCTCAGCCTATCAAGTAGCTAGGACCACAGGGGTGCACCACCATGCTGGGCTAATTTAAAAAAATTATTTGTAGAGACAAGGTCTCACTATGTTACCCAGGCTGGTCTCAAACTCCTGGGCTCAAGCAATTCTGCCTCAGCCTCTCAAAGTGCTGGGATTACCTACGTGAGCCACGGCACCCCATAGGGTTTTTATTATGCTATTCCAGAATGAGTTTCTAGCAATGGTCCTTAACCCAAATCTGAGTCAGGCCGACCTGGAGAGTTTTTTCAAATACTCACAGATGGACCACATCCTGAGCATCCTGAAGCAGCATCTGGAGAAGTGATATTTCAATAAAAGCTCTCCAGGTGATTCTCATGCATACCTCCAGTTAAAACCACTGCTTTAAGTGGCCGCAATATGTATTTCTCGCAATCAGTAAGACAATTTCAATATATTTTCTCTTGATTATAGAAAGAGGTCAAGGTATTCTATTTCATAGGATGGAGATGACAATGTCATCACAGAGATATTCAAAATATTCTTCAATATTAAAAAAAAACCCTTTTGAACATAGATCAAAAATATTTTAGGAGGTAGGTGATAAGATTACCTAAAGTCACGAATATGCTAATCAATGAAGTATTTTATGTGGTAACTTGGTGGTCAAAAGGATTACCATGAATGGGGGAAAGAGGTCAGGCTTTCACTTCTTTTCTTTGGAAAACTTTGTATATTTCTCATGCATGTTACAATATAAATAAACTGTATTTTTCCAGACTAATTTTTTCCAAAGCTACAAATTGTAAGATAGTTAGACACCATAAGATGATAACAAAATTGACAATAACAAACAATGCTGAGGTGCTTCAGAGTTGAACGACTAAATATCATTTTGACACAAGTGAAAGTTTCTTAACATGATATTGAGAACTCTGCTTTCTTTCATTAGAAGACTGTTTTTTGCTAAAAGCATCTTTATAAGAAATCATTCATAAATGTTTTGAATATAACAGGAACAGAAATATTTTCAGTTTAAGGACCAAAAACTAACATACATTGGAGATGCTAACAGGAACTTGAATCAAAATCATCGTCATAAAGCAGGTATTATCTTAATTTTTACAGAGAATAAAGTGCAATTAAAAGTTTCCTCTTTGTTACTGCTCAATTTTAAAACAGGAACTAGAATCCTATATATAAAAAAGAGATTGAATTTGCATATGACTTAGATGGTTTTTGTCTCCCGAACTAGTAAGATTGAAATGTAATGTATCTTAATTAAATGAATGAGGAAACATCTAAGACGTGGTTTTTATGAAGAGAAATAAGAAATGTGGGACACATGAGTGATCTGCAGGCCACCTCAGATCAGGCACACTAAACTCCAAGCCTCTATTATTGCCATATAGAATTACTCTCATCTGATCTTCACACACTTTTCAGAAGCAACCAGACTTTCTCAATTTATTTTTAAAGAAAAGCAGATCCTGATTCAGTAATAAAACACTATATGCTCTACTAACAGTATAATGAAACTACTAGCACCAATATTTGTAGCTATTGCCAAAGATTTTCTACATAGAATCCTTTGTAATGTCACTGCCTATTCTCCATTTTGTGTCTCTTTCACACACAGGTGAAGTCTCTGCTTGCTTACTTACTCATCTGTGTCTCAATCCCACAAGTAAAGGAGTATGAATTGGATTATGAATTTAAGTTATTTAGCCACCTATAGGAATGGAGAATTGGTATGACAAGTTGGCTTATTTATAATGTGGACATTTCTAGACAGTTGGTTAAAACCTTCTTTTCTAAATATATTTTTAAAGCTCCTGGTAAAAAATGTTGAGGATACAGAATTGCATTAAAAAAGGAGTAAAAAGTGTATTACTTTTTAAGATTATCCAGGGATAATCTTTCTGATGGTTGATACATCTTTTCCATGTATATATTTTAAGAAAATATTCTAGATACACTGTATAAAGCTGCACTGTTCAATATAGTAGACATTAGCCACCTGCATTCACTGAGTACTTGAAATGTGGCTAGTATGAATTGATTGTTCCTGTAAGTATATACAACATATACTGTATTTCAAAGATAGTACATAAGAAAAATATCTCAATAATTTAGATACTAATCACGCTGAATACTTCTGATATCAATTTAAGATATATTATTAAAATTAATTTTAACTGATTCTATTTACATTTTTAATATGGCTACTAGAAAATATGTGAGTAATTTACATTTCTATTAGACAGTACTAGTATAAAGCACTCTGTAATTTTCATTTTTCATTTTATTAAAAAAAGCATACTCCCAAATAAGTAAGCATTCCTAGAAAGCAATACTATTGTAATTATTTATTTATTTATTTTTTTTATTTGAGACAGTCTCACTCTGTCGCTCAGGCTGGAGTGCAATGGCGCGATCTCGGCTCACTTAAACCTCCGCTTCCCAGGCTTAAGCGATTCTCCTGCCTCAGCCTCCCGAGTAGCTGGGATTACAGGCATGAGCCACCACGCCCAGCTAATTTTTGTATTTTTAGTAGAGATGGGGTTTTGCCATATTGGCCAGGCTGGTCTCCAATTCCTGACCTCAAGTGATCCGCCTGCCGCAGCCTCCCAAAGTGCTGGGATTACAGGCATGAGCAACCCCATCCGAACGCAATACTATTAATAGATACATAATATTCCTTTTGATGGAAGTACCACAATTTAATTTGGACATCAGGGTTGTTCTATCATAAATAACTGAGTTGAACATTTTTACCACAAGCCTTTTTCAGTTTTCCAATATTACCTTAGAATAGATTCTTGGAAATAAAATTACTAGATAAAAGTCGTAATAGTATTTTTTTTTTCTTTCTTTTCTGAGACGGAGTCTCGCTCTGTCGCCCAGGCTGGAGTGCAGTGGCGTGATCGCAGCTCACTGCAAGCTCTGCCTCCCTGGTTCATGCCATTCTCCTGCCTCAGCCTCCCAAGTAGCTGGGACTACAGGCACCCGCCACCACGCCCGGCTAATTTTTTTTTGTATTTTTAGTAGAGACGGGGTTTCACAGTGTTAGCCAGGATGGTCTCAATCTCCTGACCTTGTGATCCACCATAACAGTATTTTTAAGGATATTAATACATGTAACTAAATTAGTTTCAAAAAATTTGTACCCATTTATAATACCTTAAAAATATAAAAATACCTATCTCAGTTCACCCTAAACAGCATTGGGTAATATATATTAAAATATTTGCCAGTTTCATTTAAAAAGTTATTTAGTTTAAATAGTTTACATTAGTTTAAATGTTATTTGTTATATATTAAGTTATATGTTTTAAATTCTTTTTTTGTTGATTAGTAGTTGACATGGTTTGGCTCTGTGTCCCCACCCAAATCTCATCTTGTAGCTCCCATAATTCCCACATGTTCTGGGAGGAACCCTGTGGGAAGTAATTAAATCATGGGGGCGGGTCTTTCTCATGTTGTTCTTGTGATAGTGAATAAGTCTCACAAGATCTGATGGTTTTGAAAAATGGGAGTCTCCCTGCACAAGTTACCTCTTTGCCTGCTGCCCTCCACGTGAGACTTGACTTGCTCCTCCTTGCCTTCTGACATGATTGTGAGTCTTCCCCCGCCACGTGGAACTGTAAGTCCAATTAAACCTCTTTCTTTTGTAAATTGCCCAGTTTCAGGTATGTCTTTATCAGCAGCCTGAAAACAGGCTAATACACTAAATTGGTACCAGTAGAGTGAGGTGTTGCTGAAAAGATACCCAAAAATGTGGAAACGACTTTGGAACTGGGTGACAGGCAGAGGCTGGAACAGCTTGGAGGGCTCAGAAGAAGGTAGGAAAATGTGGGAAAGTTTGGAACTTCATAGAGTCTTGTTGAATGGCTTTCACCAAAAGCCTGATAGCGATATGGACAGTAAGGTCCAGGCTGAGGATGACGTACTTGTTGGGAACTGGAATAAAGATGACTCTTGTTATGTTTTAGCAAAGAGACTGGCGGCATTTTGCCCCTACCCTAACAATTTGTGGAACTTTGAACTTGAGAGAGATGATTTAGGGTATCTAGGAGAGGAAATTTCTAAGCAGCAAAGCATTCAAGAGGTGATTAGGGTGCTGTTAAAGGCATTCAGTTTCATAAGGGAAGCAGAGCATAAAAGTTCATGAAATTTGCAGCCTGACAATGTAATAGAAATGAAAATCCTATTTTCTGAGGAGAAATTCAAGTGGGCTGCAGAAATTTGCATAAGGAAGGAGGAGCCAAACGTTAATCCCCAAGACAATGGGGAAAATGTTTCCAGGGCATATCAGAGGTCTTCATGTCAACCACTCCCATCAGAGGCCTAGATGCCTAGGAGAAAATGGTTTCCTGGGTTGGGCCCAGGGTCACTGTGATGCTCTGTGCAGTCTAGAAACTTGGTGCTCTGCATCCCAGCCACTTCAGCTTGGACTAAAAGAGGCCAAGTGCAACCTGACCTATTGCTTCAGAGGGTGGAAGCCCCAAGCCTTGGCAGCTTCCACATGGTGTTGAGCTGCAGGTGCACAGAAGTCAAGAATTGAGGTTTGGGAACCTCTGCTTAGATTTCAAAAGATGTATGGAAACCCCTGGGTGCCTAGGAAGAAGTTTGCTGCAGGGGCGGGGCCCTCATGGAGAACCTCTGCTAGGACAGTCCCTACTGGGGCACTACCTAGTGGAGCTGTGAGAAGAGGGCCATGGTCCTCCAGACCCCAGAATGGTAGATCTGCTGAGAGCTTGCACCTTGCACCTGGAAAAGCCACAGACACTCAATGCCAGCCCGTGAAAGCAGTCAGGAAGGGGGCTAAACCCTGCAAAGCTGCAGAGGTGGAGCTGCCCAAGACCTGGGAACCCACCTCTTATATTAGTGTGACCTGGCTGTGAGACACGGAGTCAAACGAGATGATTTTGGAGTTTTAAGATTTGACTGTCCTGCTGGATTTTGGACTTGCATGGGCCTGTAGCCCCTTTGTTTTGGCCAATGTCTCCCTTTTGGAATAGCTGTATTTATCCAATGCCTATATCCCAATTGTACCTAGGAAGTAACTCACTTGTTTTTTATTTTATAGGCTCATAGGCAGAAGGGACTTGCCTTGTCTCAGATGACACTTTGGACTGTGGACTTTTGAGTTAATGCTGAAATGAGTGAAGACTTTGGGGGACTGTTGGGAGGGCATGATTGGTTTTGAAATGTGAGGATATGAGATTTGGGAGGGGCCAGGGGCAGAATGATATGGTTTGGCTGTGTCCCCACCCAAATCTCATCTTGAATTCCCACGTGTTGTGGGAGGGACCTGGTGGGAGGTAACTGAATCCTGGGGACAGGTCTTTCCCATGCTGTTCTCCTGATATTAAATAAGTCTTATGAGATCTGATGGTTTTGAAAAATGGGAGTCTCCCTGCACAAGTTATCTCTTTGCCTGCTGTCATCCATGTAAGATGTGACTTGTTCTTCCTTGCCTTTTGCCATGATTGTGAGGCTTCCCCAGCCACTTGGAATTGTATGTCCAGTGAAACTTCTTTCTTTTGTAATTGCCCAGTCTTGGGTATGTCTTTATTAGCAGTGTAAAAACAGACTAATACAGTAAATTCTCAGGTATGTCTTTGTCAGCAGCATGAAAATGGACTAATATTCTAGTAAATTTCATTTTTAAAATATTCGCCTTTTTTAAAAAAATTGTTAAAGTCTCTGCCCCTTTGTTATTAGGTATGGGCATCTTCTTATTATTGTACTAGAGCTCTTTATACATTAAAGAAATCTTATTTTACTATATATGTTGCAATTTATTTTCTAATCATCTTTTAACTTTTTGTTGTACGATATTTTTACCTATAAAGCTTGATGTATTTAAATCTATGGACTACACATAGCAATTCTCAGCTTGAGTTGCTGTGGGATGTTGAGTTAGAAAGCTAGGAATGTTGATACTACATTATGCCTACAGGCCAAATTAAAAACTAGTACTTTCAGATAACTTGAGTTCATTTTCAGTGATAGAGTTAATCCTAATTCAGCAATAGTGGCACTGGAGATAAAAAAATATATATATTTATTTTGGAAAGTTGGATTTATAACTCAGATGTTTTTGACAGACATGTATGAAACCTCAGGTCCACCCACTTGCCCTCATTCCAGAGCTTCCTATTTTGTCTAATTCACAATAGTCCCTTATAACATCACTTTTTACCATTTCTATTATTCAGGCTATCTCGACTTCTGATTTATTTTCTTTTTCACCAGGCTGCATTGTAAAAACTTTTTCTACTGCTACGCTGCTCTCTTTACTGTTCTTTTCTTTCAGTATCTGTTTACTTTTAAAAAATTCATCCTCAGTATTTTGTTGTATAAATTGTGATACTGTTGCAAAATAAGTTTAGCCTGGTAACAAATATTTATACTCTTTTCATAAACATCTGTGTTTATTCCATCTTTTCATGTCATAAAACTATAAATAATTACATAATTAACTTCAGGAAATTCATTCGTTCTAGTGACAATGGAGGCAACATTCGATTATTTATTTCTAACAGATGCAAGAGTTGGCAACTGATTGGATTTAGTGGATGACAGCAAGGGCAGGGTTAATATGGCTACGATCTCTCCAGTCTGCAAGGTTCGGGTTGTAGTAATGCCTAGGCCTTACATTCAAGAGATGTAAATCAATAAAGCCAAAGTAAATATAAAAATACAAAGATATCTATCTACCCTCCCACTGATAATTAGTCACTGCTCACCATTTTCTGTGTGCCTGGCTATTACCTCAGCTTCCCAGAACCTTCCCCTGGACTCCCTGGGCCACCCCATAATTCAGCAATTAAAAAGCTGGCTCTGGCAAAGAAAAGGCCTCCCAGGACCCTATTCCCATTGTACAGCTCCCATCTATTTTGATGGCAGATAAATATTTTCAATATCACCTCTGGTAACCTCACAACAGAATAAAACTTGAGAGAGAAAAGGCAGATTTAGTGGTGAAATTAATATAACTCATTCAGCATCAAATATCAAGAAATATGCTCAATCTGTTCTTGGTAAACGAAGAGTTAACTCTAAAGGCCTCTTCTAGCCATAAGATTCTAATATCACCTTATACCAGAATTAGAATTTAATTTGTATTCCAAATTTGACTGATGACATTCTAATGGAGATGAATTTAAATAGTAAGGTGGTTAAAAATAAAAATTTAAAATATAAATCTATTTGATGTTTTGAACTTGATAATTCTCCTGTTGGTGAACATTATCGGTATTTAGATATGGAATAAAGCAGAAAAAGTAATTAATCTGAATGACAAGAAAAGATGATAGATTCCTGAATATAAAATCTAAGGTACCTGCAAATTGTGAAAACAAGACTAAGAAAATGACATCTAAATTAATTACTCACTATCTGAAGTTTCACCAGAGAAATAAAAGCTCTAATATTATTTAAGGTAATTTCATAATTTAAAATAAAGGGGATATAAGTATTGATGGAGGACTGAGTGTTGATATAGAAAAATATCAGAGCTGGCAGGGTGTAGTGGCTCATGCCTGTAATCTCAGCACTTTGGGAGGCCGAGACGGGTGGATCACTTGAGCTCAGGAGTTTGAGACAAGCCTGGTCAACATGGTGAAACCCCGTCTCTAATAAAAATACAAAAATTAGCCAGGCATGGTGGTAGACACCAGTAATCCCAGCGACTCAGGAGGCTGAGACAGGAGAATCACCTGAATCTGGGAAGCAGAGGTTGCAGTGAGCTGAGATCACACCACTACACTCCAGCCTGGGTGACAGACAGAGTGAGACTCCAACTCAAATAAAAAGAAAGCAAGCAAGAAAAAGAAAGATATCAGAGCTCTATTTTAAGTCCTCTCTTCTGTATTACTGAAGTAACATAGCAAGAAGCTACTACATTAAAGGCACTATAATCTACACTGTGAGGAATAATATGACAAAACACAGTCCTTGATTTCAGGTAGTTTATAATTACAGAAGTCTCCCCTACCCCTGCCCCCTTAACCACGGTTTCACTTTTTGTGGTTTCAGGTACCTGCTGTCAACTATGACCTGTAAGTTAGGTGAGTACAGTACAATAAGATATTTTGAGAGAGACCACATTCACATAATTTGTATTACAGTATATTATAATTGTTCTATATTATTATTATTGTTCATCTCTTACTGTGCCTAAGGTAAAAATTAAACTTCAACGTCAGTATGTACGTATAAGAAAAAATAGAGCTATATAAAGAGTTCCGTACTATTCATGGTTTCAGGCATCCACTGGGGGTCTTGGAACATATTCCCCCAGAGATAAGAGACGATTACTGTGATATGAAGGACAAGGCAGAAACAAATAACTTCAATATAAATCATAATGTGTTAGATATGCTGATAAACATTCCAAAGTGGCAAAGTAAACACACAAGAGAGAGGGATTAAATGACTTTCAATGTACAAGGAAAACCTTCATACAAATGACAGCACTGAAATCGGACCTGAACAGAATATCAACAGGCAAAATGAACACAGAAGGGCTTTCCAAATGGTGAAGCCAAGCAAATATGTGGGATAGAAGAGCACAGGACAAACACCAAAACTGCACAGTGAAACTGGCTGAAATACCACTTTCAAAAATCCTGCAAAGATCTTCTAGTAAAGGGCTGGTGTTGAACGTTTATATAATTTTCTTAAAAATGTTACTGAAAATGAGAAAAAGCCTTTTCCTCTGAAACATTATCTGAAAGAATCCCAAACCATTCAAGGTAGGCAGGTGGATATATATTAAAAAAACACATTAAATAAAATTAAAATATTGTATAAAGATTGAAGTTTTTAGTTAAGTCATATTACCTGGAAAAATGTTGAACACATAATGAGTGCTCAATAACAATTTCTTCATAAATTAATTAATATAATTTCTATTGAGTCATAAATAAATGAAGATGTACAGAAGTTAAAAATTGATTACCACTTCAGGTATACTAGATACATATATAATTAAATCAGTCTTTCTTGAGAGCAAGAATTATAGATTAAAGTGAAATGGGACAAAAAATTCACAAGCTAGAGTTGAGAAAAATCATGACCTACATTTTTAGCAGCTGGAAGACTAGATATGTCAATGAATCACATATAGATTATGAAATTCCATTTATCAACATTTTAAGTCTGAAAGAAGTGATACGTAAGGGAACAAGAAAAAGAGACTGAAACTTGCCTGTTAAATACAGGTTTAGGATATTCAGGGTTAACTGCAAGCAAATTGTAGGTTACCATTAAGGGAAG
Source organism: Homo sapiens (assembly GCF_000001405.40). Lineage (NCBI taxonomy): Eukaryota > Metazoa > Chordata > Mammalia > Primates > Hominidae > Homo > Homo sapiens. The sequence goes on from NC_000012.12 coordinate 38,754,930, forward strand.
ATTCCACAGAGTAAGTGAGGAAACAAAATAAATACGAAAAATATAAAAGGTTTACAAATGCTTCTTCTAAATGAGTTCTAATGTTTTAGACAATTCACAAATACATTTCAGCAATAGGCAAGGAATCACTTGGTCATGATAATGCATAATCCCAGAATGAAAACATCAAGTGCATTGATCAAATATTATCTTCTAAGGTAACAACAGAAAATGACAGCATTTGTATGGCATTTTGCAGACAAATGAAGTTTGCATTTAATTATATAAATATCATTATTGAAATGACTACATTTGATAAAATACAGAGTGGTAAAAATGAAACTTTTACTCTCTCTGTTCACAAGCGGGGATTTTATGATGGACAGTTCACTAACTCAGCCTTTTCATCAAAGCATCATTTTTCTGGTAGGCAGGAATCTACTTGGTGGCCCATTTACAATCAGTCCCACATCACAACCACATGGTATTAATGCAGCACTGTTCCACTAATGCTCCCTGAATTTTAATTTAAGCTACAAATTCAGCTGAAAAAACTTCAAGCAATTGAAGCTTTTCAAGGATACCGCTACTGATTGCTTTTCAACCAGCACAAGGCAGTTTCTCAGCACTTTAGCTTTTCAATTGTTAAAGTGAGCTTTAAATATTCATCCCCACCCATCTCAAAAAAAGAAAAAAAAAGAAATAGTGAGAAGTATAGGAATGATTTTAGCATTGTGGTTTAACTTGTTGAAAATTAAATACATTTCAACTGATTATTAATACCAATGTCAAGCAATGCCTCTAACTCTCAGACCCTTGTCAATGTGTTTCAATAAAAAGAACAGGTAACGGCCGGGCGCGGTGGCTCACGCCTGTAATCCCAGCACTTTGGGAGGCCGAGGCGGGCGGATCACGAAGTCAGGAGATCGAGACCATCCCGGCTAAAACGGTGAAACCCCGTCTCTACTAAAAATACAAAAAATTAGCCGGGCGTAGTGGCGGGCGCCTGTAGTCCCAGCTACTCGGGAGGCTGAGGCAGGAGAATGACGTGAACCCAGGAGGCGGAGCTTGCAGTGAGCCGAGATCCCGCCACTGCACTCCAGCCTGGGCGACAGAGCGAGACTCCGTCTCAAAAAAAAAAAAAAAAGAACAGGTAACTATATTTCTTCTATTCTACATTAGCTCAAGATACCTAATTTAATGTCAACTGGTTACATGCTCAACAGCATTACCACATTTTTGTATGCTTCATAGATTTGTGAGGTGCTTCTTATAGAATTAATTTCAGTTGATGAATTTAGTTAAAAATGCCATCAGAATTCTGACACAAGAGGACACCAGTCCCTGAAGTGCCCAATCTGTGTGAATATCATTACAACAATTGTCTGAAATACTCTAGCTAGTAAAACAAAATGTGATTGTAAGCAAGTAAAGCATTTTCCACTTTTTTTTTTTTTTTTTTTAGACAGGGGTCTCACTCTGTCACTCAGGCTAGAAAGCAGTAGCATGATCATTGCTGACTGAAGCCTCAACCTCCTGGGCTCAAGCCATCTTCCTGCCTCAGTCTCCCGAGTAGCGAGGACTACAGCCACACGCCACCATGCCCAGCTAATGTTTTTATTATTTTCATAGAGACAGGGTCTTGTTTTATTGCTCTGGCTGCCACTTTAATATTTGACTGACATATTCTCTCTAGATTGAAAGAGCACATTGCCTTATTGGTTTTCTATGAGTAAATTTACATACAAAATAATACAGATATCTGACCAGCTTTTCCCCATTTTATAAGGAGTCAATTCTAGACTTCTACTAAATGCAGACAAACATTTCATCTGATATAAAGTTACTTATGATGCATATTACATGGACTTCATTAAAGTCTACGTAGTACCAACCAATATGGCAGCCCCTAGCCACATGCTGCTGTAACTTCAAATGTAGGTAGTCTGAATTGAGATGTGCTGTAAACATAAAATGTATACCACATTTCAAAGACTTAGTATTTTTAAAAAGTAAAAATCCTTCTTAGTAATTTTGTATTGATTCTATATTAAAATGACAATATTCTGGAAACATGGGATTAAATAAAATATATTAGTACATTAATCTCACTGGTTTATTTTTACTTTGTAATGTTATCACTAGAAAATTTAAAATTATATATGTGACTTGCATTATATTTCCATTGTACAATGTTAGTCCAAGTTCTCAAAAAACATCCACTGAGCAAATAATGTTTTTTAATAAGAAGAATTAAAAGTTCTGGATCAACAAATAGGGTAAAAAATGACACATGTACAGGATTTAGGACAAATATTAATGATGACAGGAATACAAAAATAAGTAATAGGAAACAGTCTCTGTTGATCATTATGTCATGAAATATAATGAGTCCTATCATAGTCACTCTGATGTTTTTAAAAAATCTACATTGGGCAATTTTGTCAGATTAAAAAAACATGTAAAAAGTGTAATAACCATCTTATTAGACCACACATAATCATAAGCTTCATATCAATTTGTATAATAATCCACACAGTGATCATTATTATTAAATTATAAAATTAATATCTGGATTTTAAAAAACTTTTATGTATTATATTTTATTGGAGACTAATGCGCCTTTCAAATTTCATACATAAGACAAGTTATTGAATTAAAAGGGTTATCAAGAATTATTTTAATTTTGCTTTTTATATGGCATCCACAAACTGATCATTTTGCTAACATTGAAAAAGGTTTCTTGGTGAAAATGTATTATATAGAATTATACACTAAATTTTCTACATTAAAATATAGATCTATTTTTGGAATAATAAAAGAGCACTTTACTCAAACATTAAAAAGGTATTAAACTTACACTTACAAAATTAAAATCCATTCCCCTAATTATTCTATTAATCATATAATTCATTTCCAAGGAATGTTTAAATTTCACCAAACAATTTTCCCCTCCTAATCTCACCCCTTTATTTTCAGTCTTTAACTCCCTAGACTTCTTTTGAACATGCTGTTAATGATGGTATAGTAAGATGAGTATTTAAAAATGCATTAATATATCCTCCAGCACTGCCAATCTTCCCCCCAAGCAGTTGATGACCCAATGACAAAATATGCTTATTAAATCTCAATATCTAAATAGTTTCTTTGCTTTTAAATCTGATGTCTCAAAAGTAAATTACTATTTCTTGTTGAAAAATATTTTTCCTATCTAATGGCACAAATCATCTGTGAACAAACTCTCTCTCTCTCTCTCTCTCTATTCTTGCTCTTATTATAGCTCTCATTCGCTTAATCTAAGCCACCTCTTTTTCACATTTCACTGGTCCTTTCAACGTCTGTTAGGATTCTTTCAGAGTCTGTAATACTCATTTCTTTCTACCTAACTTCTAGTTACATAAAAACTGTTACCAAGAAATGCTTTACCCATTTTTCCAGACAATATACAATTTCAGATAATAAAAAAATTATGTTAGATTGTTTCTTAAATTTTCCTTATAGTCTTCATAACTATCACATTAAAGTATCACAGAATAAGTCCAATGTCCAGGTTGAAGCCTTTCACTTAATGCCAGGAATTACGATTACAATGCTATAAAAAAGACAGTGCAATAGTTATGAATATACTATTGGAAGTGAACTGCCAGGGTTCAAGCCCTGGTTCCACCATTGATTAGTTTTGCGACTTTAGGCAAGTTACTTCTTTGCCTCAGTTTCTTTATCTGTGAAAGGTAACTAATGTAGTACCTATCATTTATTGTGAAAATTAAATAAGGAATAACATTAAAAATGCTTAGAGAATACCTGGTATGTTAGAAACTTTCAATAAATCATATCCTGAATAGGAATGCTCAAAATGCTCAAGTCAGGAAAAAAGATAATTAAATTCCAAGGTAATTCTGATCTTCAAAGCTATTCAAAATTCTTGTGGCTCAGAAATAGATTGGAGACAATAGGAGAGTCACAGAAACTCATCATTTGAAGGAAGACAATACAATATCTATAATTTCAGCAAATTTAGGATTGAACGTCTATGGATGTGGATGAAACCTAAATTTATACCCCTTGTTTATTAGTGGTTAAATTAAAACCATTTCCCAAACTTTTAAACCATTTCTCATGTGCCCAAAAATACTCTTGTCTCTAATTCTAATGTAATATCACATACATTTCTGTTACATTAGGATTAGAGACAAGTTCTATTTAGAAATAACTCCAAAAACAGTTTTTATATTTTCACACTGAAAATCAGTCAGATTTGCTTCAGCCTCAAGTATCGTGTTTTGCAAAATTAAAGGAGCTCTGGCAGTGAGCTGCACTTTTTGTTTCTAAATGGGAAATGGGTTAAAAATTACTAGGGAAAAGCCACCACTTTTGCCTATTCACAATTAAAATATAAAATAGGGTATATAATACAGGGCATAAAGTCCTTTACTCAGATTGGCATTATTTCCTTTTCTATTATTCTGAGCAGCAAAACTCATTATCTCAGTGAATCAAGTTTAATAAAGCAATGGAGCATAAATCCCTATGGAAAAATAGAAAGTTTTCTGATAAGATTTCTCCAGAATGCACATAGAACTAAATAATACATTAACCAAATGAATACCTGGCAGAAACGTAAAGATCAGTAGCATAGCATGGATTATTATGAAGTTATCTCTAAGAGCAAACTTCAAATCAGTGTTATAACTCTTTTTCATAATAATGTTTGTGATACAACTTAAAGACTGAAATATTTGAGTCTTATATACTTATTTGGTAGCAGCTAAAGTGTAGAATAATAATCTCCACTTCCCTCCCCATCTTTTCTTATCACTTCTTGAAAGAAAAAAAAAATACTATTTGCATCAAATTCCAGGACACTTATTGCACAGTGTGTGTGAGTAAGCATATGGGCAAGTGTCATACACATGCTGGCATGTGGCTCTGCAACTGAGCAACTTTCTGCCAATGCAGCAGAAGGGAAGAGAAGAGGGTGCCCCCTCAGCACAGGCCAGCCTTCTTGAACTTGTTCCTGTATTCACAGGAGTGTTCAGGTATCCAGGCACTTTCATCCCTTTGGGGGTTGGTTTCTGGCTTGTACACAATGCAGAGAGAAAAGCATTATTTAGCTTTAACCTCATGTTTCAGCTCCATTTATCAGTGAGCTATGGATTTGAGTTTAGGACACACATCGACTGAAAAATTAAAAGTAACCTTTGCTTTCCCATTTATCATTCTCCTTTGATACCCACATATTCAGCCCTTTCAGGGAGCACCTAGAGAGGCAGCAGTCTAGGGCAAAATGGGATTTGAGCATTTCTGGGTCCTTGGCTTAAGATCATTTTACAAACATCTCATCATCATCCTACGAAGATGACAGTAGAAACAAAATATGCTTAAAAAAGAAAAAAATGAGTTTCCTCTCTTTTAGTCTTTAATATCTACTTTGATATGCAGAGGACTACAGTGATTGCAGAGCTCTGAACAACTATTTGGTCTGGCAATGACCAGACACAATTCTCGAGTTTTGTTGTATGGTGTGTATATATATATATATATGTGTGTGTATATAGGCAGAGTTGGCTGGTGAATGCAAAGCTTACTTGTGTTCCCTTGAAAAGTATGGGATATCAATGTCATAAAAATGTTCAGAGAAATTTTGAAATGCAGAAATTTGATACTCACTACAGCTATAAAACTAGACATCTATAATCATCAGATTCAAGTTGAAAATCTTTACTAAGTTACTGGAAATAAGAAAAACCTCTATTTTCATCTCGAGGTTGGAGAAAATATGCTCATTTTAAAATTTCATGTAAATGCATCAGTAACATTTGGAAAAACAAAACAAATATGCCATCTAAAAATTACAATTTAAAAATGTGGTCATTTCAATGTATGTGCCTCTTAAAGTACACCCAGTTCAAGAGTAAGAAGATAAGAACTGTCTTACCTTCCATCTCGGTCCCAGTCATACACCTCTACTTTGATTGTTCTGTACATGAGAAAAACATACACATAAAGTTACTTAGTAAGATCAAAATAATGTATGGTTGAGAATTTAAAAATAAGTTGTTTTTCTTAGATAAAACAATGTATGCTTGCAGATTTTACATATGAATTTGAAGTTAATTTTGCTAATTTCATTACTATAATCCAATTCGCATCTTAAAAGAGGCTTCTAAAATCTTCATTGATTCCTTAAAGAGAGTAAGGAGAGTCTACAGGGGAAGCATGTGCAGTTTGACAGAGCTCCTCAAAGGGATGGTATGCACCCACTTCTCCGCTCTTGAAAATTACTGTCTTGGAGCAGTGTTTCTCAAACTCAGCAAAGATCAGAATCATATGGAGCACTTGTCAAAACATGGATTATTGGACCTCTCTCCTGGAGTTTCTGATTAAGCAGGTCTGGATTGGGGCCACATAATTTGAATTTCTATGAGATCACCAGGTGATGCTGACTGATGCTGCTAATCAGGAAGAACATTATGACTTTCTTAGGAACTTTTCTAAGAACTTTCTTAGGAAAAAATGAGTCCAGCAAAATAAAGATATGATCTTATTAAATGAAAAGAATGATAGTCAAGTGGCATGATAAATTTCAAAGAAAACTTAATAATAGTTCTATGATATGGGTTAATTAAACTATTTTTCTATCATATGTAACAAAATGAAGATTGAGATTTTTACTTTTCATTTGCTTTTCTTTTGGGATGGATGGGGTTTTTATATTATAATCATACAATAAAGTTTCATAAGAAAAAAACTTTGATATTAAGAAATCTTCAGGTATATTGTGGGAAAATCCTCAGGACCACCTTACCCAGCTAATTGTGAAACATTAAAATCTCCTGTGCTATAACTATGGAACTTTTGTGAATCAGCAACCATGAGTTATGCCAAATAACATTTTCAAGAGTATTTCAGGGTTGACAATATGTCTAAGCATAGTGTTGCAACTTTCGTGTTTCTACTTGTTCCACTCTAGAAGGACTGTACCATAGAAAAGGCTTAGGGCAATGAAGATTCTGAAATAACTTTTGAATAATAAATTAAAATTTAAAGCAAATATGCAACGTATTTTAGCATTTAAATATTTTCATTTTTGGAAAATAAGTTTAACCAAATTTTAATTAGCCAACTTATCCCACTTCCTCAAATCACTGTAGATTTTTTTAAAAGTTATTTGAAGATTTTTGAATAAACTATCCTTCTTACCTGTCATAGTCTCCATTACATAATGCTCTGACTGAGATCTTGAATGCTTGCCATACTGGATTTAGAGTGTTTTTGACAACTTCTGTCTTGTGACAAATTGTAAAACTATAAAGAAAGAGTTTTCAGTTATTTGCATGCTTTGACTATTTTAATTGATCTATTGTTTTAGTAGCCATTCCTCTGCTTACTTTTTGTTCAGAATAGTCAGTTCCGCTGTTGCTGCTACATCACTTCATGGAAAGAGATACGTGATTTTAAAACCTGAAAGATCACCTCACCATAACCTACTTTGCAATAAATTTACCAAAAACAATCTGAAAATTCAATAAATCCTAAAGTTGTTTTGTAAACAATCTCTGTAAAAATTGTGGTGACATGCTGATGGAGTGAAAAATATCCATAGGTCCCTAAGAATATGAGGATCACCAGCAACTTTGAGAAGAACAGCTTTGTTGGAGTGTTGAGAAGAAAAACCTGGTTTTACAGTGGGTTTAAGAAAGAGAAGAGAAACTGAGGCACAGTGTGTGAACTTTTAGTCTAGCTGTGAAGAAAAAGAAAAAAGTTAGGCTAATTTAAGGGAAAAGAAAGGATTAATCACAGGAAAGGTTTTTGGTGTTCTTGTTTTTACTTTTAATTTTTGTTTTCAAGATGGAAGAAATAACAGCAAGGTTGTCTGGTAAAGGAAAAGATCTGGCAGAAAGGAAGCCACTTCTGATGCATGAGAGAAAGGTGGGAGCAATGTTTTTGTTTTGTTTGTTTATTTGTTTTTGAGACGGAGTCTCTGTCGCCCAGGCTGGAGTGCAGCGGCGTGATCTTGGCTCACTGCAACCTCTGCCGCCCGGGTTCATGCAATCCTCCTGCCTCAGCTTTCCGAGTAGCTGGGATTACAGGCGCCTGCCACTGCACCCAACTAATTTTTGTATTTTTAGTAGAGACGATGTTGCACCATCTTGGCCCAGCTCGTCTTGAACTCCTGACCTCATGATCCACCTGCCCCGCCCTCTCAAAGTGCTGGGATTACAGGCGTGAGCCACTGTGCCCAGCCGGGAGCAATGTCTTTTAAGCAGGTGAGAGTAGATGGGATCCTGAGCATCAGTGGAGGAGCTGCCCTTGAGAGGCCAGACAGTCATTCTGCAAGAACATTCAGGAAGGCAGAGTAAATGGGTTGATGTGGTGGGATCATGAGGAAGCTCTCCAATTGCCACCATTTTCTTATGAAAGAGGATGCATGACAATGAGCAAAGAAGGAGGATGAGACATAAGTGATAAAGTGTCTGGGATAAAGAAAATGTTCATAGATTAGGAAAAAAGGAGTAGAATTCCTCGGGAGCCCCAAGGGCCCATTTAAGTTTAACATCACGTCATGAATCTATAGAAAGACCATTTAGTGTGTGGGTTCTTTCTTTATCTAAACTATTGGTTCTATATATCTAAAGAATTCCTAAGGGAAGAAAGACAGCAATTCACAATATGGGGCAGAATTCATGAAGCCTTAAGCTCGGTTTTCTGATTCAAATTCCAGTGTCATTTCCACAAAACTATTCAATCTTAAGACATCAATCAGCTCCTGGAAATGTTCTTCCTTCATGTGAATTTATGCAGCAGTTTCTGAGCTAGAAGCATTCAAAGTGATCTTCACTGAAACAATACATAAAACTTCATCAAGACCTTAGTCATAAAGTGTTTCAAATGCAATTATCTAACAGTAATGACACATGAAAATATTAATAAATACCATAGTGAATATACTGCCCCTAACCCCCATGATGAAATATCCCCCCTTTGATAAGTCCTCAAGTTCATTTTCCTACTCTCAAATAAGAGGGATTTGTTTCTATTAAGAGATAAGATAGAAACATAATACTTTATGAAAGGATCAAGTTTTTATTACAAGACTTAACGGCATCCGTGCCTTCTCCTTCCAGGCAGTATCCTCACTCATCTAAGGAAACTCGTGTCATTAAATTGACAGAGCCCAGGAAAATGTATCTATGGTCAAATGTTCTCAGAGCTGACTCACCTGAAGCAATTTAGGAGTCAATGGGGGAAAAGGCATTACAAGTAAGACAGAGGGGCAGACAGAGAAGACTCTTGAAGGGTAATGAAGATGTCTAAAGCAGAAGAAGAAAATCAAAGTGGATAGGGCAAGTTAGGGGAGGGCTGTAGGGGCTCAGAACACAGAGAAAAGGCAAAGGTACCAAAAAATTTTTAAGAAAAAGTCATAGGCCGGGCGCAGTAGCTCACGCCTGTAATCCCAGCACTTTGGGAGGCCGAGGCGGGCGGATCACGAGGTCAGGAGATCGAGACCATCCCGGCTAAAACGGTGAAACCCCGTCTCTACTAAAAATACAAAAAATTAGCCGGGCGTAGTGGCGGGCGCCTGTAGTCCCAGCTACTTGGGAGGCTGAGGCAGGAGAATGGCGTGAACCCGGGAGGCGGAGCTTGCAGTGAGCCGAGATCCCGCCACTGCACTCCAGCCTGGGCGACAGAGCGAGACTCCGTCTCAAAAAAAAAAAAAAAAAAAAAAAGAAAAAGTCATAGAAAACAAATTACAGAGGGAAGGCAGAGCTGTATGTTGGTTTGTTTCAGAAACAATATATTCATTAAGATACATTCATAAAAATAAAATACATTCTTAAAGATCTGCAAAGGGAATTTCTTCTCTTGTATCATATTCTAATATATAGCAAGTCTTTGGTATGGTGATAGATACAGATAGCTAAATAGATGATATCTAGATAGATGACAGGAAGAGAGAGAGAGAGAGAGAAAAAGAGAGACAGAGAGAGAGACTAGACTGAGAGACCAACTGACCATCTTCAGACCAACATGTTCAACTGTCTACTGACTTTTTGGCCTCTTTGCTTATGGTTAAATCAAAATTTCTCTTATATTCCTAGTGTCACCAGCTGCAGTAATTAAATACTTTTGACACTTGAAACATTTCCTCTGAGGGAAGGCATGTCCTTCTTACTGAGATATTTATGAGGCAGGCAGTCATTTATTGCCTATTAATCATTCTCATTTCTAATGTATTAGATATCATATATATAGGAAAACCTCACTGGTAAGAATTCCAGTGCTGGTGTAACTCATAAAAATTCTGCCAGGAGTCCAATGTAGCTTTGCCTAACATTCAGAAATATTTCTATATAAATATAATGTGTGTGTTACAAATAGTATTATAAAAATATATTTTTATTGAATAACTGGTATTAAGATACTTTAAGTGAGGCCATTTACCAAAAATAGCTATTCCAAAGGAAAATTATTACCCAATCATATATAAATATCACGCTACTAAATAAATGTCAAAGCAAGAACATGAGTATAAGATCATAAGTATGAAGGCTTTTAATTAATACTTCCAGTAGAAATTAAGTTTTTGTCTTTCTTACGAAATAAGCCACAAATACACTAGGTATTAGGCAATTTTTGAAATAGTCCCATATTAAAAAAATATTTAAAATAAAGCTAGAATCTTTGCAGTTAAAAATGGAGACAAAAAGTGAGGCGTAAAAGCATCTGTATACACTCAAAATACAACAAAGCCTATGTGTGCGTACACATACATAAAATATCTGGATCGAGCTGGCAAACTAGGTTTCTGTGTGTAAATATAAATGAAAAGTTTTCTGAAATGAGATTCACCAACTTTTAAAAATAGTTTTTTCAAATTAGTTGACATTTTTGGATTAGTTGTATTTTTCTTAATATTTAGATTTTATTTAATGAGTGAACATCTTTTTTTATTTTTTTTTTTTAAGATGGAGTTTCACTCTTTTTGCCCAGGCTAGAGTGCAATGGCACGATCTTGGCTCACTGCAACCTCCGCCTCCCAGGTTCAAGCAATTCTCCTGCCTCAGCCTCCCAAGTAGCTGGCATTACTGGCACCTGCCACCACGCCCAGCTAATTTTTTGTATTTTTAGTAGAGACAGGGTTTCACCATGTTGACCAGGATGGTCTCGATCTCTTGACCTCGTGATCCGCCTGCCTCGGCCTCCTACAGTGCTGGGATTACAGGCGTGAGCCACCGCGCCTGGCCGTGAACATCATTTTTACAAGCATAATACATTTTTTAATAAAAGTATCACCAGGAGCATTAGATGTGTGATAAAGTGAAATTTTACAATTGTACAACTAATCTTTATGAAGAAAACTAATAAGAATAAAAATAGAAAATCCAGGGAGCAAGTAGTTCATAAGAACATTTTCATTCAAGAAATTCAGAATCATTCTTGAGGTTTTCCTCTATTTTCGAAATGCCTGGCAAATATTATTTTCTTCACTCTGCAACATTTTTCTTATGAATAAAATTAGTGTTCAGATGCTATGACACTGACATTTTTACCATCAAAAAGAAGGGAAATACACAAAATCTAATAGTATAACACTATAGCAAATATATCCAACAGTTGCTCAGTAGCTGCATCAACAAACATCTCCCAATAAGTAGACCATCATTTTAAACTGGCCAGTGCATTCACTGTGAATAGCAAACTGTCTATATTATGCAACATTTGATACTTATTATATAACAACATATTGTATAGTTTCATATATAAGTGCAGCATTTTTTCCCATTCTATTCCCCTCATTTTTAATTTCCAAATAACATGTTCTCTTTAGCTGATATATTACACATAGTTAAAAAAACAAAAAAGAAAATATTAACTATACATAATAATAATATTAGCTAATGTTTAAGTTCTTCTTATGTGTTGGACAAACTTAGTAATTTTTTGTATAGTAACTAATTTAATCTGATCAACAACCCTGTGAGGTAGCTATGATTACTACCCCATTTTACAGGTGAGGAGAAAACGGAATCTCACATACATTAAAAACTTGCCATAGTACTATAGCTATTAAGTAGCAAGGTTATTATTTAAATCTAGACAACAGAAATTAGCCATATTATTAACAACTAAACATTCTCACAAATACTAATAGTACAATATGAATCACAAAAAACAAGTCAGATATATTTAATAGCAGAGCCATACATATTAAATTATGGTCTATAACTCATAAGGACATATTCAAAATTTATAGAAACTAGTCTAATCATAACTGGCAAAAGTATTCAAATTACTAGAATATAATGAACATTTTTACTGAAAGTTAGTCTCAGATATTATTGGCAAAAAAAACCCACAAGCTCCATATCCTTCTCTAAGAAAATGGTTTTGGTTCAAATCTGTAACAAAATATATTTGTTTCAGCATTCAGGTTTTCACAAAATATAATTCTTCTAAACTATTAACTCAATGTTATAATTGTATAACAAATAAAGAGGAAATATTTCTATGAAACTAGAAATTTTTCATTTTAAGTATCAGACAAAACATAAAATGTTTATAAAGTTGCACAATATTTTGAGATGCAAAAATCATATCAATTTTTAAAATCTCAAACTATTTTACTTCATTTATCAATTTAATGAGCTTCTCTGAGAAAAATAATTATAATTCAAGTATCATCATTACCATATAGTTGAAATGCATAAAAGATAAATCTACCTGCCATCTTCATTACTTCGATAAAATACAAGGAAAGGATCTGATTTTCCAAAGAAGTCCTTCTTGTCCAATTTGTTCGCACAAAATTGCATCAAAACGGCATCCTAAAAACAAAATTAATAAAACAGTTCAAGATTTGGGCTATAAATAACTAGAAACTGCAGATCAGAAACAAGACTTGACAAGAAAACATATTTGCTATTTTAATGCAAATGGCCAAGTTTGGGAGAATCCCAGACAACATAAAATTGCTTTTTAAAGGGTTATATGACTTTAAAAATTTTGCTGGTAATTTTCATTCTAATTACAAAACTATTACTTTTCAAAAACTTTTAACATTTTTCCTTTGAAAAGTGATATTAAGCTAGGTGATGCCAGGTACTCAATTTTATAATATAGGATCCTCATTCATATCTTCAGTTATACAGGTACACATTTTTAGAACATAGTTAAAAAAATTCCTGTTCATTAAGGAAATATTTACTAAATTTTTACTACATATCTAGTATGTATAAAATGTTGAGATGTACTAGATGATTAGATGGGGAATAAGAAAGATAAACATTGACCACATAGTTTATAATCTGGAGACAGAAAAGTTCCTACTTTCTTAATCATATACAAGTGTAGTATAATGAATCAGTAACTACATTTAAAAACAATTTTCTTCTGTAACTGAAATTACAATTTGCATGTTAATTATTATGTCAAATCGATCATTTAAACCAATTTATGTACTCAAACACTCGCAGCTACATGATTTAAAGGAAAACAAGCTAGGGTATCATAACACATTATTGATAACCATTTTTAAAGTAGAAAATGTATTGTTATTTAAAATCAAAATAAATAGTTTTGTGGGGTTTTGTGTGTATGTGTGTTGTTTTTGTTTTTGTTTCTGTTTGAGACGGAGTCTTGCTCTGTCACCAGGCTGGAGTGCAGTGGCATGATCTCGGCTCACTGCAAGCTCCATCTCCTGGGTTCTCCCCATTCTCCTGCCTCAGCATCCTGAGTAGCTGGGACTACAGGCACACGCTGCCACGCCCGGCTAATTTTTTTGTATTTTTTTTTTTTAGCAGAGACGGGGTTTCACCGTGTTAGCCATGATGGTCTCTATCTCCTGACCTCGTGATCCGCCTGCCTCAGCCTCCCGAAGAGCTGGGATTACAGGCTTGTGTGTTTTTTAACTGAACAGGAAAGCTTAAAATGTTGGAAAGAGGTGAAGTGGCAAAGTAACTCAGATTAAACAAAGAGGTTACAATTTTGAATATTATGTGATAAAATGTTAACAATGTCTGAAAAAGCATTCCCTTATTCATCACTTCTTTATCTTACAGAGTCCAGCAATACTTACTAAGTATACACCTAAACTTTTAATTATTTCCTTTCAGTAATTCCAGAAGACTACACAAAACATGATGCTACCTTTATCATTCATTCATTCACTCATTTTCTTACTTAGCAAACATTTAGCAAGCAATAGTCAAGCTAGAATCTTGGAATAGGGTAATGAACAAGGCAGTATCTACCCTTGGAAAGGTCAGATTTCTTAATTTCACATTTTCAAAAGTATTGGTATAGTATTATTTGATTTTACTTGTAGCATGTAGCTGTGATAACTTCTATCAGAGGAACATTTATAACAGAGCAGGAAATACATTCTAGCAACGTATAGTGACAATAGAGGTAAGGACAATATGGACATCACTATCACCTCAAACCTCTCAAGCATATCATGTTCTTTTTAAATTAGAGGTTTAAAGATCAAAAAGTTCTATACTATCTATTATAGAAGTAGTGAAATAATCATTCTGGATGATCAAATTATAAAATCAAAGGCAGCATTGAAAAGGCGAGCTGTTTGGTTTAGTTTGTTTATTTTGAATGCCCCTTCATTTCCATATATATTTAAATGCCCTTGGGAGAGAATGGCTTTCTAAGAACATGGGGACATTCCAAGGACATTGTTCTTGCAGAAAAACATTACACTTTAACACATTTCTCCCAAAGCACCTGGACCAAAATATAAACTTCCAAGAAACATTCTGTATACTTACAATGCATAATAGATAAATGAAATGTGTTTATTTCAAATAGATTGTGAATAAAACATCAGAGGTGTATTATTATAAAAGCATGAATTTTCATAGGCTCACTGGTAAATGTAATACTAAATTTAATTTTTCAAATTATATCCCTTAGGGCTTGCAAAATGAATAACTGATTCAAAATAAAGATTTATTTCAATGAAGAAAATTATATAACCTTAGGAAAAATAATGTTCTTGCAATTACTCAGGTTAACAACTTAGCAGGGATTAAATGGTACATTTGTATTAAGCACAAAATACATCTTGTTTGAGAGGAAAAGTATTTATATACTTTTAGAAATACACTAGCATCACTGCAAAGTTTTGTTTTGTTTTGCTTTGTTTTTATGCCTTATGCTTAATGTCACCTAATACATTTTTTAAGACCTCTCTTTAATACTCCACATATAAGGACCATTCTATTGCATAAAGCCACTTGGATGTTTCACAGGCACTTCTAACATATTCCAATCTGAACATCTAACGTCTATCCATAAACTTGCTTCTCCTATAATTTTCCCAGCTCAGTT
The DNA here is from genome assembly GCF_000001405.40 of Homo sapiens. NCBI lineage: Eukaryota > Metazoa > Chordata > Mammalia > Primates > Hominidae > Homo > Homo sapiens. The sequence continues at coordinate 38,770,254 of NC_000012.12, forward strand.
AGTGGCATTGTCATTCACTCAAGTGCCCAAAGAAGCCATCCTTGACTCTTCTATTTTCCTGATCCTTTATCCAGTCCACCACCAGTTGCATCATTTACCTCTAAAATTTTGCTCAAATCTTTACTTTGGCTCTGCTGCCACCACCTCAGTCCAGTTCAATCTTATTTCTCACCCAGACATGTTCATTGACATTTATTCCTTACTCCCACTTCGACTCTTTGATGTATCCAATCCATTCTCCATTCAGCAGACAGAATAAAAGTCTTGAAACATGAAAAATTCATGTTGCTCACAACTTAAAATGCTTTAAGGCTTTCCCTTGCATTTAGGAAAAATGCAGAACCTTTAACATGGTCCGCAAAGGCCAACATCTAATGGGTTCTGACCAGCCTTTTCCACCTTCAACTGGCAATGTTTTAGCTCAATCAACTCCCACTGCTCACCCCTGGCCATCTCACATCGGACCCACACATGCCTTTCCCACCTCAGGACCTTATACAGCTGTGTCTGCTGGAATTCTTATCCTTGGGCTGGCAAACACTACTCCTTCTTTAGGTCTTAGCTTAAATGTCACTTTCTCAAAGAGGCCCAGTGATTCCCCCAAGGCTTAATATAAATTAGATCCCTGCTGTACTCTCATAATATATTTGAATCACTTGTCACATATCATGACATATATTACCTGCATAGTCAGCCGACTAATGTCTCTCTTTCCCACAAACTATGTGTTCATTAAAAACAAGGACCAGGTTTGGGGGTTGTGGTGTTGTGTTTTGTACTGTTTTTTTCTTGCCATTCTATTCTAAGCATTCATTCCAAGGACATAATAACATTTTGTAAACACTGTTCAATCAATCAATAAATAAAAACAAAAAATATACTTTATGAAAAATTTCAAGCTACTTTTAAAATACTACATAAAAGGCCAGGCATAGCGGCTCATGACTGTAACCCCAGCGCTTTGGGAGGGCAAGGGGGGCTTGGATCACTTGAGTCTGGGAGTTCAAGACCAGCCTGGACAACACAGTGAGACCACATCTCTATCAAAAAAAAAAAAAAAAATTAGCCAGGTGTGGCGGTGCCTGCCTATGTTCCCAGCTAGGAGGGAGACTGAGGTGGGAGAATCACTTGAGCCCAGGAGCTCAAAGCCTGCAGTTAGCCAAAATTGTGCCACTGCACTTCAGCCTGGGCAATAGAGTGAGACCCCGTATTTAAAAAAAAAATACTGATTGAAGATACACTCCCAACATAATTTCTAAACTACATTAGTTTTTACTGTGGCATTTAATTAAATATAAAATTTGCATTTGAATAAAACTGTATCAAAATAAGTTGAGATAATTAGGATTATTACACTACAAATAAATATTTGTATAAATTTATGACCTATACATCCCTTAAATGCTACCATTTCTTTCCTATAGAGTATCCATCTAAAGGAAGAATTAATAATATTCCCATTTTTAGAAGAAAACATAGAGCCTTGTGATATTGGCCTTGGATATTATTTCTTGGATATGATACAAAAGCATAGGCCACAAAAGCAAAAATACACGTGGGACTGCATCAAACTACAAAGCTTCTGCTCAGCAAAGGAAACAATCAACAGAATGAAAAGGCAACCTACAGAATGGGAGAAAATATGCTGTGGTTGCTATGACTTGTTTGTCCCTACCAAAGCTCATATCGAAATTTGATCACCAGTGTGACAGTGCTGGGAGGTGGGGCCCCATGGAAGGTGTTTGGGTTATGGGTGTGAATCCCTCATAAATAGGTAGGTGCTGCTTTCACAGTCTTGAATGAGACTGGATTAATTCTCTCAGAATGAGTTCATTCTATTAAGAGTGGGTTTTTATAAAGCTAGGGTGCCCCTCAGGTGTCCCTATGTTCACAAATGTCTGCTTCCACTTTCACTTTCTCTGCCACAATGTGAAACAGTATGAAAGCCCTTACCACAAGCCAGTACCATGCTCTTGAGCTTCTCAGCTGGTAGAAGAGTGAGCTAAATAAACTTCTTTTTAAAAATAAGTTACCTACTCTCAGATATTCTTTTATTGCAACACAAAATGGACTAAGATACTGTATACTATAAAGGTTAATTTCCAAAATATATAAGGAACTCCTACAAATCTTCAAAAATACTGCAAAAACTAAAAATAAATAAAAATAAAAAATAGAAAATCAACCCAATTTAAAAATGGGCTAAGAACCTGAATAAGCATATCTCTAAGGACATACAAATGACCAACACACATATGAAAGGTGCTCAACATCACCAATCATCAGAGAAATGCAAATCCATACAAAAGATTAGCTCACGCCTGTTAGAATGCCTACTATCAAAAAACAAACGCAAAAGGAAGCAGTGTCAGTGAGGATGTAGAGAAAAGGAAACCCTTGTACACTGTTGCTAGGAATGCAAATTAGTGCAGCCACTGTGGAAAATAGTAGGAGGTTCCTCAAAAATTAAAAGCAGCACTACTGTATGATCCAGCAATCCCACTTCTGGGTATATATCCAAAGAAAGAGACTGAAATCAGTATCTTGAAGAGATATCTGAACTCCCATGTTTATTCTAGCATTATACACAAATAAGTCAAGATATTGAAGCAAATGAAGTGTCCATCAACAGATGAATAGATACAGAAAATGTTTTATATATATATAAAATTTATACACACACACACACACATATATATGTAAAACAATGGAATATTATTCAGCCTTAAAAAGGAAGAACATCCATCCATTTGCAACAAGATAGATGAGCCTGGAAGACACTATATAAGTGAAATAAGACAGCCATAAAAAGATAAATACTACATATTGTAACTTACATGAGGATTCTAAAATAGTCAAAATTATAGAAGCAGGGAGTAGAATGATGGTTTCCCGGGATTGAGGGGAAGAAGAAACTGGAAGGTATTATCAAGGAGCACAAAATTTCAGTTATGTAAGATGAATAAGTCATAGAGATCTACTATATACAGTATAGTACCTATGGTTAACAATACTGCACTGTATATTTAAAAATCTGCTGAAAGGGTAAATCTTATGCTGTTTATTATCACAAAAATATTAATAATAAATAAGCAGGGTAGGGGGAACCATTGTAAGTGACTAATATATGACATTGATTGTGGTGATGGTTTCATGGGTATATACCTGTCTCCAGACTCATCATGATGTATACATTAAATATGTCCAGTTATTTGTATGCCAATTATACCTAATAAACTGGTTTAAAAAAATTGTCATTTTACAAATGCATAACTTAAAGCTTCAACAATATAACCTCACTCGGCTAAATAGTGAAAAAGGTAAGACTAAAATGTAGGTGAGCTGACTCTAAAGCTTATGTTCATTGTACAAGTTAATAACTGACAACTCGTTTTAAAGAAAAATGTAGATTTTTATGATGTTGTAGGTGAATTAAAATGATTGCATTCAACATTATAAATAATAATGCCCAATACTTTTAATGTTCCCTAAAGTATAAATTTAAAAAGCATTGATTCTTCTGAAGTAACTATGAACATTTCTTTGAGTACACTTGTGCATTCTACTATACTAATGTAGTAATGAAATACTATTTCAAGTTTATTAGTATTAATAATGATGCTGATGATCAATAAGGCTATAGCCAGGAATCAGGACATAGAAAACATAAGATGAAGTTACACCAAGATTTTAAACAATATTGATAAAAATATTAAACTATAATTTCTAAGTATGAGAAATATGTATTGACTCATTGAAAGATAATTCCAGATGTTATTGAATTAATTGTAAAAAGAGGGATAAAAATACCTAGACCACTAAATGACACATTCCCTTTCATTTACTAAGGCCTGGTAAAAGAATTTTCCCGGCTCTTCCAACAAGAGAGTAGAACTGAAAGTGGAAGATATTTAGGATGCAGCCTGTCCATACTCAACCTGTGTCTTGGTATCTTGGCTCTACTTTGAAATAGAACAGATAGTACTGTATTCATGACACATTTACATAAAATCTGCTCAATAAACTCAAGATTTTGACAAAATAGCATGTTAATATCACCAAAAAGAACATGTATCTTATTGACTGTGAACTTCCTTTTTTCTTTCCTCCTTTATCATACAAAACATATATTATTTGAAACATTTACAAATTGAGACAAGTATAAATGATGATTAGATGATAATATAATTTAAAAAATCATTGTATCATTTTAACTAAAAAAATAGGATAGGTAATATCGCTGCATTTAAATAATTATGCTATATTTTCTAAGGCACTGGGTAGTATATGCAAACTACTTTTATGTACATTATAGTATCAAACTTAATGTTATGGTAGTTAATTGCCAGGACTGGAAGATTTTTTTTTTAAATAGTCTAGTGATTAGTTCACATTTTTTGGTTTATTGCCCTTCAAATACGAAAAGTAAAACACAGAGTAAGTAGTCAAGTGTCTTGATTAGACAAAGTACAAATTAGTAGCAAAACCAAAACTTGAGTCTGATAGTCTTTAACAGCATTATATGTGGGCATGTTGGGGTATTTTTTAGATGAGAAAAGTGAGACTGATATGACCGTGACATGCCCAGGGGGACAAAGACAATGAGCACAACAACAGAAAGGCTTCAATTTACATGTTTTTTAAATGACTTAAATTATAATATTAGTGTTTAACTATTTCCACTCATCTGTTATTATAGTTCCTATTGTTATCTCACTGTTCTACTCCTGCCCCCAGAATCCCAAAGGTATGTAATCAGCTGTAATACCCAGTTTCTATCATTTGCTGACAATATCATATGATTCCCTGAGCATATTATCTCAACTATCTATCTATCTATCTATTGATCATCTATCTATATTTGAGAGATATAATATATACATATATTTGAGACAAGGTCTTGCTCTGTTGCCCAGGCTGGAGTGCAGTGGCACAATAGCTCACGGCAGCCTTGAATTCCTGGGCTCAAGTGATCCTCCCACCTTGGCCTCCCAAAGGCTGAGATTACAGGCATGAGCCACCATGTCCCACCAGAAATGTATTATGTAAATAAAGCTACAGAATTTATCTAAAAGTTAAAAAGACAACTTTTTGAGATAATAAAATAAACTATGGCTCTCTCTATAAAAACTCTGGTCAATGTCAAAATGTTAAGCTTTTGGTATTTGGGGTGAGTTTCTGTTCCTACAATCAAGCAGCAACTAAAAGTAAAGAGCACTAGAGGTAATCTAGGGAAAATTTTTTTCCTCTGGAAATACCAATTCCCAGAGATCTGCTGGCCCACATTAAACAGACAATATTGACTTCAGATTAAGCTGGTCATTGTTACTTTCAGTCTGGAGTGTCATAGCTATCACCCCATTTCTTGACAACAGTGAAATCATTAATCATGAGTCAATGGGTGCATCAGCAAATCACAACTGAAAGTAGCAATGTTCTAAAAATACAGAGTATGCACTCTCTGTAGTCATACTGCTAGCTGTAGTGGCAGCTAATCCTTTCTTCAAATGTGGACTTCCCAAGCTAACAAGAGATGGAACCAATATAAATTCTGGATTAATTAAATTAGAAAAATTGGGGAAAATATCTTATACAAATGGGGTAAACTCAAATGACAAGAAATATTCCTTCAGGATTACACACAGATCTTCAAAAATACTGCAAAAAAGTTTGCAGTAATTGAACTGATTGGTATAACTGACTATTCCTTATACTAATGCTTAAAAAGCAGTATTGATATTAGGTGTTATTTTAATACTTTCAATTCCTTAAAAAGATTATTAAAATAACTAATTATACTTTTCAGACTATGAAATACAGTCTCTCTGGTCATAGGGCTAAGTACCTAAAATGATATTTTATGGGTTATAAAATTGTATAACACTTTTGCTACAATTACTTAAAAATTAATTAGTTAAGTACAATTTTAGATATAGCATTTGAAGTATGGAAGTATTTTCTAAACCAAAGAAATATTTACTTACCCTGCAACAGTTTAATTCCTCTGCTGTAAGTATGATTGTACCACATTTCTTCCCTGGAATTCCTCTAAAACAACAAAAATATATTTATATACATTAATATGTTATATTAATACTATATAATATAAATTTATATATCATGTTTATTTTTATGTACTCTAATAAAGAGCATATAATAATAACATGGTTCTTCCCTAACAAATATATTTTGAGTAGCTGGGATTACAGGCCCAGCTAAATTTTGTATGTTTTTTTAGCAGAGATGGGGTTTCGCCATGTTGGCCAAGCTGGTCTCAAACTCCTGACCTCCAGTGATCCGCTCCCCTCGGCCTCCCAAAGTGCCGGTATTACAGGCATGAGCTACCACACCCGGCCCTCAATGAGACTAAACTTTCAACATAACTTTAAACATGTCGATCCTCTCCTCAAGAATCTTCAATATCTCCATATTGTCTAATATATAATAAAATATAAGATAATGTAATAGTTATGCATCATCTAATTATGTTTCAGTAAGAAACAGATTGCATATACATTGGTGGCCCCATAACATTATAATGGAGCTGAAAACTTTCTACTGCCTAATGATGTAATATCTTAGCACAGAGCATTACTCATGTGTTGGTGTAATGCTGAGGCAAACAAATCTACTGTGCTGCCAGTCATACAAAGTATGTATGTACAGTCCATAATACTTGACAATGATAGTAAACATCAAATATGTTACTGTTTATGTATTTTCTATACTATACTTTTTATCATTATTTCAAAGTGTATTTCTTCTACACATACCAAAAAAAAAAAAACAAAGCTAACTGTAAAAACAGCCTCATTTAGGTCCTGCAGATGTTCCAAAAGAAGGCACTGTTATCACAGGAGACAACAGCTCCATGCATGGTACTGCCCCTGAAGGTTTTCCAGTGGGACAAGATGTGGAGGTGGAAGACAGGGATACTGAGGATCCTGACCCTGTGTAGGCCTAGGTAAATGTATAACTTTGTGTCTTAGTTTTTAACAAAAAAAAGTTTAAAAAGTAAAAATAAATAAATAACTTAAAAACAGAAAAAAGATTACTGAATAAGGATATAAAGAAAGGAAATATTTTTGTACAGCTGTGCAATGTGTTTGTGTTCTAGATAAGTGTTATTATTAAAACATTTTAAAAAGTTTAAAATATTTTAAAGTAAAAACATTATAGTAAGTTAAGGTTAATTTATTATTGAAGAAAGAAAAATAGTTTTAAATAAATTTAGTGTAGCCTAACTATACAGTGTTTATAAAGCCTACAGTAGTATAATGTCTCAGGGCCTCACATTCACTCACCACTCACTTAGACTCACCCAGAGCAACTTCCATTCCTGTAAGCTTCATTCATGGTAAGTACCCTACACAGGTATACCATTTTATATGTTTACTTATGTTTAGATACACAAATACTGATGTTACAATTACCTGTTCAGTGAGGTAACATGCTGTACACATTTGTAGCCTAGGAACAAGAGGTTATACCATATAGCCTAGGTATGTAGTAGGCTAGACCAGGGGTCTGCAACCCCAGGGCTGCAGAGCACGAGATGAGTGGCAGGCACCAGCAAGCTGAGCCTCATCTGTTTTCACAGCAGCTCCCCATCGCTGGCATTACTACCTGAGCTCTGCCTCTTGTCAGATCAGCAGCAGCATTAGATTCTCATAGGAACGTGAACCCTATTGTGAACTGAGAGGGACCTAAGTTGCATATGCTTCTTATGAGAATCTAATGCCTGATGATCTGTCATGGTCTCCCATCACCCCCACATGGGACCATCTACTTGCAGGAAAACAAGCTCAGGGGTCCCACTGATTCTACATGACATTGAGTTGTATAATTATTTCATTATAATATAATAATAATAGAAATAAAGTGTACAATAAATGTAATGCACTTGAATCATCCCGAAACTACCCCCAAACCCCCAGTGCATGGAAAAATGATCTTCCACAAAACCGCTCCTTGGTACCAAAAAGGTTGGGGACTTCTGGGTTAGACCATCTAGGTTTGTGTAAGTACAGCCTATGGTGGTTTCACAACAATGAAATCACCTAAGGAAGCATGTCTCGGGACATATCACTGTTGCTAAGTAGTGCATGACTATAGAACAAAATGTTCTCATGGTTTCTAAGTTTTTTAGTATGTTATTAAAACCTATCTAAAACTATGGGTTTCACTGTTCCCTCTCCTTTCATCAACTCGGTGACATTTTGTGCTTATTTCTTCTTTGTGTTCACTCCCATGCCTTGATAAACTATAGCTTGTTAACTGTTCCCTATTTCGCCTCAAACTTTCCATATCCCCAAATTGGATATGGAACAAGTTCCATTTGTTCCAAGAAAACCTTATCCTAGGCAGCCTTACACAAAGCTCAGCCTTTTCTGCTTTCCTATTGATGTTAAAGTCAATACTGCAAGGTTTAGCACTTAATTATTCCTTAACTGTTAAAAGGACAAATTGTTAACCTTTCTTTTCTCAAGTTGATTATGCTTTCTGTAAGAGCAATATTCACGACATAAACCTCTTGTAAGCACAGAGTTAAATGTCTGTATACAGCAGGTGTTTAGTTTATAGGTAAGTATGTAATATACAGTCATGCATTGCTTAATTCTTGTTTCCACCATGTATTTACTCTTAACCAGGGTCATTGCACATGTCAAGATCTTCCATCTTCCCTAGGTCCTTATGACTAAGAACTCAATATAGCATGGCACATTTTGTCTTATATTACTACATTATCGTTTTCAGCATCCTTCCAGCATCCTTAATCAGTTAATTTTTCTAATTCAGCTGTACCTTTCTCTTCTTCTTTCTATTTGTGAACTATGAGTTTAATATATTCAGCATTATGGAAAACCAAACACCCTGACTGAGCATCAACCTGAACACACTTTACAATGCTGAATAAAATATGCAAAGATCTTTATAAATGCTCAGATAACATTGCAAGAAAATAAGGACCAATCAGAAGCTTAAAGTGAAGTCAGAAAGATAAGCAGAACTGAACACTGGAGAACTTGATCTTAGGCTTCTGATTTTTATGGTTACTTAGGGCACAAAAATTAGAGAGAAAATCAAGAGGAGGTGGGACTCACAAGGTGGGAAATTCAATAAACAGCCAACCCACAGCATAAAGCTTATATCTCATTAACTAGATTGCCTGATTGTAGCATGAGTTATATATAAACATTCACTTTATGAGCCTAAAAAATAAATCGCTGCCTTAAAAGGTGGAGATGAGTGAAAGAGAAAAAAATGTATCCTAATAATTTAAGGCTCAACCAGGCTTGCTGTCTTAATTGACATCACTTGAGTAGTTACCAAAACTTCAAACCAAGAATTACATTTAATTCAAGTGATCATGGTTGCCTGGTATATGCAAATCCTCTCCAGAAAAGTTTCCCTTCAAATTACATCTCAAAATATCTCACATTTAAAGTTTTAAAAGTAAATGTGAAGCTCGTTTTATAATATTAAAAAATAAACAAGGAAAAATGCACCCACCATGAGTTAGACTCTCCAAAACAACAGGTTGCAGAATCAAACACAGATTTAGAATGTTGTAAATATTATGAATAGTATACAAAATATAAGCATTTATAATATATTTAAAATGTAAAGAGGAAATGGACATATGGATAACTAGCAAAGGATTATAAAAAATAAGCAAGAATATTTGGAACAGAATAGGGAGCCCAGAAGTAAATCCAAGCTGTCATTGCCAGTGCCAATGTCCAGGCACTTTTCCTCTATTTTCTCTTCCAGGAGTTTCATTGTTTCTGGTCTTATGTTTAGGTCTTTTACCCATTTTGAGCTGATTTCTGTGTATGGTGTAAAGTAAGGGTCCAATTTAATTCTTTTGCATGTGGAAGTCTAGTTTTCTCGGCACCATTTATTAAAGGGACTATCTGCTCCCCATCCTGTCCTCCTGGTTCCCTTGTAAAAAATCAGTTGACTATATATGTTTGGATTAGACAAAGGTGAAGAGAGAATTAGTGAACTGAAAGAAGGATATAAATAAATTATCCATAATGCAGCATGGAGAAGCAGACATGGGAACTATTATGAAGAGGTTTGGAGTCACAGAACACAAATGTAAAAGGTCTAATAATATGTTTAATCAGAGTTCCAGTAGAAGAAGGAATAAATAGAGCAGATGCAATGTTTGAAGAGATAATGGCTGGGAAACTTCTAGAAATGGTGAACCACCTCAATTTCTAGATTCAGAAAGCTCAGTGAATCCCAAGCAGCATAATAAAAATAGATTTACACTTGGGCACATGATAGGAGCATGGAAAAACGTGAGAGATGAAGAATATATCTCCAGAGGAACCAGACAGAAAAGACAGATGATCGACAAAGATATGATCTACAAAGATTAAACTAAGAGCTGACTACTTGGAAGCAACACTGGAAACTGAAAGATAATTGAAACAATATCTTCAGTGGTATGAAAGAAAATAATTATAAATATAAGATTGTAAACAGTAAAGATCTATTCTAAAAACAAGCATAAACTATAGATACTTTGAAACAAATAAGAAATAATGCATTTATATTCAAGAATCTTTGCTTGAGAAGTTTCTAAAGAATGGGTTTCAAACTGAAGGAAATGATCACAGATGGGAGATCTAAGATGAAAAAAGAAAGAAGGAGAGAAGCCAAGGAAATACTAAATACGAGTTAATCTTAAATCAGTGACACTAATGTTAAAAACTAAAATAACAAATACAAATGAATATGATAGCATTAATCAGCAAGGTGATAATTTAAGTTAAAGCCTTCTCATGGTCTCTTACTGTTCAGGAAGAAATTAAATATGCTGAAAAAATAGAATTTCATAAAAAATGAGTAAATATGTTTAAAAACTTCAAAGAAACTACAATTATTTAAGTACTTTATAGTTTCAAGTTTAGAAAAGAAAATTTTTGAAATTATGTTTCTAAAATGCAATCAGTTCAAAAGGAACTAAGACTAAAGAAAGAATGGGGCAGATGAGGATCACTAAGTAGGTAGTAGAAATAAACCTAGAGGAATAGTTACTGATGTAAATGTAAATGAACTAAATGCTCCAGATTAAATGCAAATATTGTATGTAATTATATAAAAATTAAATTCAGCCATGAACTATTTAAAATAGATAACAAAATTTGATTCAAAAAATTCAAAAGAAAAGAATGGAAAGATATCTCAGAAAATAAAACTAATTCTATTGAAAATCAGTACACCTACATTAATAGCATACATACAGATTTTAAATTGAAAAGGGTTGCAAGAAATAGTTATTGTGTAATGACAAAACATTCAATTAATTGGGAAGATATAGTAACCTCAATACTGCATGCATCTACTATTATAGCTCCAAAATACATAAAGCAAAATTGACACAACTACAAAAAGATAAATACACCATTATGTTGAACAATTTCATGGTAAACACCCTTGGCAAGGTGATCAAGGTTAATATCACCAGTGATAAGTCATATTAATATGTATTCCTGATAAGATGTAAGGAGAAAGACACTTCACTCCTGTGGCCTTCTACCCAAATCCTTAACTCCAATCTAACCATGAGAAAAACATCACACAAATGCAAATTTAGGGACATTCTACAAAAAATCTAATACTTCCTCAAAACTATCAAGGTCATACAAAACAAGGAAAGACTAAGAAATTGTAACATATCAGATCAAAAGAAAGTGTACATCCTGAAATGAATTCTGAATGAATTCTGGTATAAAAAGAACATTAGTGAAAAATGAGTGAAATTCAAGTAAAGTTTGAAATTTAGCTAATAGTAATATATGTACCACTGTTGTCTTTCTAGTTGTGACAAATGTATTAAATACCATGGTAACACAAGATGTTAATGTTAGAAGAAACTGGTGTGACAGGAATACAGGAATTTTCTGTACTATTGTAACTTTTCTATAAACATAAAACTATTCTAAAATACAAAGTTTATTGAAACAATGCAAGGTCAATAAAAGACAAAGGCTAAGAAACGATTTCACGTTAAAAGAGACTAGAATTAAAACAACTAATCTCAATTATGATTCTTAATTAAATTTTAGAAGAGGAAAATATACCTATAATGACATTATTGGTACAACTGTTGAAATGTGAGTGAAGCATAGATTAGATAATATGTATCATTGTGAAGTTTCCTGATTTTGATCATCATATTGTGGTTGTGTAAAAGAATATTCTTATTAAGAAATTCACTCTCAAGTATTTAGAGGAAAGAGGGCATAATTTTTCCAACAATGTCTCCAACTTACTCTCAAATGACTCAGAAAGAAAGACCTAGAATATGAAACAGAAAGAGAATGAGAAAGAGGGTAAGAAAGTGAATAGAATAAAGTTAGCTTCTGATTAAAGTAAACAGGAGTTCTGAACTACATTTTTTGTTTTGTTTTTGTTTTGTTTTTTTTTTGAGACAGGGTCTCACTTTGTCACCCAGTTTGGAGTGCAGTGGAGTGATCAGAGCTCACTTAAGCCTCAAATTCCTGGACTCAAGCAATCTTCCCATCTCAGCCTTCCAAGTAGCTAGGAATACACATATGTGCCACCATGCTCAGCTAACGTTTTTTCATTTTTTTAGACAGGGTCTCACTATGTTGCCTAAGCTGTTCTCAAACTACTGGGCTCAAGCAATCCTCCAGAATTGACCTCCCAAAGTGCAGGAATTGCAGGCATGAGCCACCCCACCTTGACTACTCTCGCAACTTTTACATGCAGTTGAAATTATATCAGAAAAGAAAGTTACCAAAAAAGATCAATTTTAAAGATTGCTTCTTTTAACTGTATTCTTACATTTTGAGAGACATAGAATAATAAAACTCATCCACATTACAGTTAAACATGATCTCAAGAGATTATTAGAGATGAGTAATCCTTCACAAAATTTAGGACATAGATAAGACTGGTGGAAGGCGGAGCAAGATGATGAAATAGAGGGCTCCATTGATCATCCCTCCTGCAAAGACAACTATCTATATTTTAACAACTATCTATACACACACACAAAGCATCTTCATAAGAACTGAAAATCAGATGAGCACTCACAGTACCTGGCTTTAACTTCATATCATCAAAAGAGGCACTGAAGAACTAAGAAAATCAGTCTTGAATCACCAGTGTCACCCCTCCCTAATCCCCTTGCAGCTACACTGTGGTGCTGAGAACATTTCCGTGTGCTGGGGAGAGGGGAGTGCAGCAATGGTGAGGTATTGAACTCAGTGCTGCCCTGTTATAGCAGAAAGTAAAACCAAACCAAACTCAGCTGATGCCCACCCACAGAGGGAGCATTTAAACTAGTCTTACTACAGTCACACAGTCCTAGTGATGATAGCCAAAGACAGGCTTGTGTCACCGCATCCCAAGCTTCAGGTGGCTCAGAACAAAGAAAGAGAGACCCTGTTTGTTTGGGAGAAAGTAAGGAAATAGAACAAGAGTCTCTGCCAGGTAATCCAAAGAACTCTTACAGATTTTGTCCAAGACTATCAAGGCAGTATCTCTACTAGTCTGCAAGAACCACAGCATTGGTGGGCTTTGGCCCCTAAAGTAGATACAGTTTAGATCACAACACTCGAGTTTTCTGAAATATCTGGAAAGTCTTGCCAAGAAGAATGGGTACCAACAAGCCCAGACAGTGAAGACTAAAATAAATACCTAACTCTTCAATGCTTCAATGTTCAATGAACATCTACAAGTATCAAGACCATTAGGAAAACATGACCTTAACAAATGAACTAAATAAAGCACCAGGAACCAAGCCTGGAGAAACAGAGATATGTGAGCATACAGACAGAGAAGTAAAAATAGCTGTTTTGAGGGAACTCAAATTGAAGATGACACAGAAAGTAATTCAGAATTCTATCAAATAAATGTAACAAAAAATTAAAATAATTTAAAAGCATCAAACAAAAATTCTGGAGCTAAAAATACAATTGGCATACTGAAGAATGCATCAGTCTTTTAATGGCAGAGTTGATCATGCAGAATAAAGAATTAGTGAGCTTGAAGACAAGCTATTTGAAAACGGACATTCAGAGAAGACAAAAGAAAAAAGAATGAAAAACAAAAAAGCATGCCTACAGGATCTAGAAAAAAGCCCCCAAAGGGCAAATCTAAAAGCTACTGGCCTTTTAAAAAGGAGGCAAAAAAGAGACAGGAGGAGTAGAAAGTTTATTCAAAGAGATAATAACTGAGAACTTCCCAGACCTAGAGAAAGATACCAATACCCAAGGATAAAAAAGTTATACTACACCAAACAGATTTAACCCAAAGAAGACTACCTCAAGGCATGTAGTAATCAAACTCCCAAAGGTTAAGGATAAAGGAAGAATCCCAAAAGCAGCAAGAGAAAGAAACAAACACCACACAAAGTGGCTCCAATATGTCCGGCAGCAGACTTTTCAGTGAAATCTTTCCAGGACACAAAAGAGTGGCATGACATATATAAAATGCTGAAGGAAAAAAAAAACTTTTTACCCTGGAATAATATACCTGGTGAAAGTATCCTTCAAACATGAATAAGACATAAAGAATTTCTCAGACAAACAAAATCTTAGGGATTTCATCAACACAAGACCTCTCCTATGAGAAATGCTAAAGAGAATATCTCAAATCAGAAAGAAAAGGACCTTGCCTGGTGCGGTGGCTCACGTCTATAATTCCAGCACTTTGGGAGGCTGAGGTGGGCAGATCACCTGAGGTCAGGTGTTTGAGACCAGCCTGGCCAACATGGTGAAACCCCGTCTCTACTAAAAATACAAAAATTAGCTGGGTGCGATGGCACGTGCCTGTAGTTCCAGCTATTCAGAAGGCTGAGGCAAGATAATCGCTTGAACCCAGGAGGAGGAGGTTGCAGAGATCGTGCCACTGCACTCCAGCCTGGATGACAGAGTGAGACTCTGTCTCTGAAAAAAAAAAAAAAAAGGACCCATTAAGGAGCAATAAGAAATCATCTGAAGGTACAAAACTCACTGACTCACTGATAGTAGCAAGTACACAGAATATTATAACACTATAACTGTGTAACTGTGGTGTGTAAAATAATCTTAAGTAGAAAGACTAAAAAATTAACCAATAAAAAAAAAAAACATGATATGGTTTGGCTGTGTCCCCACCCAAATCTCATCTTGAATTATAGCTCCCATAATTCCCACATGTTGTGGAGGGACCTGGTGGGAGGTAATTGAATCATGAAGGCAGGTATTTCCCAGGCTGTTCTTGTGATAGTGAATAAGTCTTAGAAGATCTGATGATTTTATAAAGGGGAGTTCCCCTGCACATATTCTCTCCATGTAAAATATGACTTTGCTAATCATTCACCTTCCACTAAGATTGTGAGGCCTCCCCAGCCACGTGGAACTATGAGTCAATTAAACTTCTTTCCTTTATAATTTACTCAAGCTCAGGTATGTCTTTATTAGCACCATGAGACATACAAGAAGACATATATAGACACAACAAAAAGTTAAAAAGCAGAGGAACAAAGTTAAAGCATAGAATTTAAGAGTTGTCTTTTTGCTTACTTCCTTGTTTATGCAAACAGTGTTAAGTTGTTAAAAGGCTGAAATAATGAGTTATAAGATAATATCTGCAAGCCTCTTAGTAACCACAAACAAGAAAATACAAGAGATACAAAAAATAACAAAGAAAAGCAAAACACTAGATCATATCAACAGAGAAAATCACCTTCAACAAATGGAAGAAGGAAGGAAAGAAAGAAGAGAACACAAAACAACTAGAAAAAAAATAAGAAAATGACAGGTGAAAGTCCTTACTTATCAATAATAACACTAAATGCAAATAAACTAAACCCTCCAATCAAAAGACACAGAGAGGCTGAATGGATTAAAAAACAAAGCCCAATGTTCTGTTGCCTAGAAGAAACACACTTAACTTATAAAGACAAGCACACACTGAAAATAAAGGGATGAAAAAAGATAACTGTGATGGTTAATACTGAGTGTCAACTTGATTGGATTGAAGGATACAAAGTATTGATCCTGGGTGTGTGTGTGAGGGTGCTGCCAAAAGAGATTAACATTTGGGTCAGTGGGCTGAGAAAGGCAGACCCACCCTTACTCTGGGTGAGCACAATCTCATCAGCTGCCTGTGCAGATAGAATGTAAGTAGGCAGAAAAATGTGTAAAGAGAGACCGGCCTAACCTCCCAGCCTACATCTTTCTCTCCTGCTGGATACTTCTTGCCCTGGAACATCAGACTCCAAGTTCTTCAGTTTTGGAACTTGGACTGGCTCTCCTTGATCCTCAGCCTGCAGATGGCCTATTATGGGACTTTGTGATCGTGTGAGTTATTAATATATATATATTCCATTAGTTCTGTCCCAATAGAGGACCCTGATTAATACAATATCCCATGCAAATGGAAACCAAATAAGAGTAGGAGCAGGTATACTTATATCAGACAAAATAGGTTTCAAGACAAAAACTATCAAAAGAGACAAAGAAGGTCACTATATAAAGATAAAGGGGTCAATTAAGCAAGGGAGTCTAGCAATTTTAAATACATACCCACCTAACAATGGAGCTTGCAGATACATAAAACAAATATTATCAGAGCTAAAGACAGAGACAGATCCCAATACAATTATACTGGAGACTGGAACACCCAATTTTAAATACATATGCGCCCAACACTGAAGCATCCAGATATATAACACAAATATTATCAGAGATAAAGAGAGAAACAGATCCCAATACAATAATAGCTGAAGACTTGAACATCCCATTTCCAGGACTGGACAGATCTTCTAGACAGAATATCAACAAAGCAACATTGGACTTAATCTATAGATAGACCAAATGAACCTAATAGACATATAGAGAACCTTTTCATCCAACAGCTGCAGAATACACATCATGTTCCTCATCACATGGATCATTCTCAAGGATGGACCATATTTTATGTCACAAAACAAGTCTAAAAACATTCAAAAAATTGAAATA
Source organism: Homo sapiens (assembly GCF_000001405.40). Lineage (NCBI taxonomy): Eukaryota > Metazoa > Chordata > Mammalia > Primates > Hominidae > Homo > Homo sapiens. The sequence continues at coordinate 38,787,245 of NC_000012.12, forward strand.
ATATTAAGCATTTTCTCTGACTACAATGTAATAAAACTAGATATCAACCACAAGGGGAATTTGAGAAAATATAGAAACACATGAAAATTTAAAATATGCTCCTGAAATGAATGGTGGGTCAGAAATTAAGAAGAAAATTGAAAATTTTTCTTGAAAAATTGATAAGGGAAGCACAACATATCAAACCTATGGGATACAGAAAATGCAGTACTAAGAAGTTTATAGCTGTAAGTGCTTCCATTAAAAAAAAAAAAAAGAAAAACTTCAAATGAACAATCTAACAATGCATCTTAAAGAATTAGAAAAGCAAGAGCAAATCAAACACAAAATTAGTAGAAGGTAAGAAATAATAAAGATCAAAGCAGAAATAAATGAAATTGAAATTACAAAAATACAAAAGCTCAATGAAACAAAGTTAGGTTTTTGAAAAGTTAAACAAAATCAACAAACCTTTAGGCAGACTAATAAATAAAAAGAGAAGAGCCAAATAAATAAAATCAGAGATGAAAGACAAGACATTACAACTGATACTGCAGAAATTCAAAGAATCATTAGCAGCTAACATAAGCACCTATATGCCAATAAGTTAAGAAATCTACAAGAAATGAACAAATACCTAGACATATACAATCTACCATGATTGAAACTTGAAGAAATCCAAAACCTGAACAGAACAATAACAAGTAAGGAAAGTAAGGAGACTGAAGTCATAATAAAAAGTCTCCCAGAAAAAAAAAAAAAAAAAAAGCCCAGGACCCAATGGCTTCACTGATAAATTCCACCAAACACTTAAAGAAAAACTAATACCAATCTTATTCGAAATATTTTTAAAACAGAGAAGTAGGGAATAGGTCCAAACTCATTCTACAAGGCCAATATTACCCTGATAACAAAAGCAGACAAAGACACATCAAAAAAAGAAAGCTACAGGCCAATATCTCTGATGAATATTGATTCAAAAAACCTTAACAAAATACTAGAAAACTGAATTCAACAATACATTAAGAAGATTATTCATCATGATCAAGTAAGATTTATCCTTGGAATGCAAGGATGGTTCGACATATGCAAAACAATCAATGTGATAAATCAGATCAACAAAATAAAGACCAAAACCATATCATTTCAATTGATGCTGAAAAACCATTTGATCAAATTGAACATCTCTTCATCAAAAAAACCTTTAAAAAGTGGGTATAAAAGAAACATATTTCAACATAATAAAAGCCATTTATGATAGACCCACAGGTAGTATCATACTGAATAGGTAAATACTGAAAGCCTTTCCTCTAAGATCTGGAACACAATAAGATGCCTACTTTCACCACTGTTATTCAACATAGTACTGGAAGTTCTAGCTAGAAGAATCAGACAAAAGACAAGAGAAAGGTATAGAAGGCATCCAAATCAAAAAGAAAGGAGTCAAATTGTACTTGTTTGCAGATTATATGGTCTTATATTTAGAAAAACCTGAAGATGCCACACAAAAAAACTATTAGAATTGATAATTCAGTAAATTGAAGGATATAAAATCAACGTAAAAATCAGTAGAATTTCTGTATGTCAAAGTGAATAATTTGAAAAAGAAATAAAGAAGTAACCCTATTTACAGTAGCCACAAAAAAAATTAAATACCTGGGAATTAGCCAAAGAAGTAAAAGATGACTGTAATAAAAACTATAGAACACTGATGAAAGATAATTAAAGAGGACACCAAAAAATGAAAAGATATTCCATGTTTATGGATTGGAATAATTCAAATTGTTAAAATGTGCATCCTACCCTAAGCATTCTACAGTTTCAATGCAATCCTTATCAAAATACCAATGGATTCTTCACATAAATAGGAAAAACAATCCTAAAATATATATGGAACCACAAAAGACCCAGAATAGCCAAAACTATCCTAAGCAAAAAGAACAAAACTGGAGAAATTACATTACCTGACTTTGAATTATACTACAGACCTATAGTAACCAAAATAGCATAGTACTGGCATAAAAGTAGACACATAGCCCAATGGAACAAAATAGAGAACCCAGAAACCAACCTATACACCTCCAGTGAACTCATTTTCAACAGAGGTGCCAAAAACATATACTGGGGAAAAGACAGTCTGTTCAATAAATGGTAGTGGGAAAACTCTATATCCATATGCAAAAGAATGAAACTAGACCCCTATCTTTTGCTATATACAAAAATCAAATCAAAATGGATTACTTAAACAAAAGTCCTCAAATTATGAAACTATGAAAAAAGGAAAACTTTTGGGAAAGTCTCCAGGACATTGGTCTGAGCAAAAATTTCTTAGGTAATATCCCATTGGCAATCAAAGAAAAAATGGACAAATCAGATCACATCAAGTTAAAAAACTTCTACACAGCATAGGAAACAATCAACTCAGGGAAGAGACAACCCACAGAATAAGAGAAAATATTTGCAAACCACCCATCTGACAAGGGATTCATAATCAGAATACATAAGTAGCTCAATCAACTCTGTAGGAAAAAAAATCTAATAACCTCATTGAAAAAATGGGCAAAAGATCTGAATCGACATTTCTCAAAAGAAGACATAAAAATGGCAAACAGGCATATGAAAAGGTGCTCAATATCACCAATAGAGAAATGCAAGTCAAAACTGCAATGAGATATAGCATCACCCCAGTTCAAATGGCTTATATCGGAATGACGGGCAACACAAATGCTAGCAAGAATGTGAAGAAAAATAAACCCTTGGACCTTCTTAGTAGAAATGTAAATTAGTACAATCACTACGGAGAACACTTTGGGGATTACTCAAAAAACTAAAGATAGAGCTATCGTAAGATCCAACAATCCTACTACTAGGTATATCTACTAGGTATATACAAAAAAGAAATGAAATCAGTATATCAAAGACATATCTGCACCCCATGTTTGTTGCAGCACTGTTTACAACAGTCAAGATTGGAAAACCACGTAGAATAGATACAGAAAATGTGATACTGATCATAATGGAGTACTATTCAGCCATAAAGAAAAATGAGATCCTGCCATTTAAAACAATATGGATGGAACTGAAGGTCATTATAGTAAGTAAAGTAAGCCAGGCACAGAAAGGCAAACATTGCATCTTCTCACTTATTTGCGGGATCTAAAAATCAAAACAATTGAGCTCATAAGACAGAGAGTAGAAAGATGGTTACTGGAGGCTGCTGAGAAGGGTAGTAGGTGCTTGGGGTAATATAGAGCTAGTTAATGGGAATATAAAAACAATAGTTAGAAATAACGAAATGAGACCTAGTATTTGATAGCACAGCAGGATGACTCTAGTCAATAATAATTTAATTGTATATTTAAAAATAACTAAAATTGTTTAACTAGATTGTAACATAAAGGATAAATGCTTGAGGGGATGGATACCATATTTTCCATGATGTGATTATTACACATTGCATGCCTATATCAAAACATCTCATATACACCTTAAATATATATACCACTATGTACCCACAAAAATTAAAAAGATTTAAAAACAACAACAAACAAACAAAAAACAAAATCGAGCACATGAAGAATAAATGACCTTTGAGAGACTGGATAATTTGTTTTTTGTGTGATTTGGTTTGTTTTGCCCTGTACTGATTGTTGTAGTTGTTTGTTTTTGTAACATTCTCCATATCTCTTACTATTTCTCCTTTATATCTGCCACTGCTTTAGCTTGTACCTTTATACTTTTGCTTCAATTCCTGAAGTTTTCTTCTTTCACAGCAGTCTCAGACTAGTACCCATTTAATTTACATTCTTCGTTAATGCCAAACTGATCTGGCAACAAATCTTTTAACTATGTACACTTTCATCTTCCAGTGTCTCTATATAGATCGTACAATAATTTTAAACTTATTAAATAAGATGTAACTGCCTTCATATGATACAGCCATGTAGTTTCATCTTTCCCAACCCCTTCTTAAGGAGTCACTTGAACTCAGAACAGATGTTTCATTTCTCCCAGACTTTACCTAGAATATTTACCCTACCACCTACTCAATGACCTTTTCTCATCTCAGGTATTTCTTCTTCTTCTTCTTCAAAATTAGCTTTAACTTATGAAACACAGACTAAAATGGACCATATACTATGTTATAGAATAGTTATTAAAATATACTTACTAACCAAAAAATTGAGTTACAGATTAATGGCTAAGGTAATTATTAAAACATTTCTGAAAAACTTATTGGTTGAAAAAAAGGAATAAAAATAGAGAAGAGAGTACTTAGAATTGCACAATAATGAAAATAATACTTCTAACATTCTACTAGTTTATTATTTAGAATGTGTAAAAAACCTAAACAAACTAGCATTAAACAACAATCCTGAAATGTGTTAACAAAAGATAATAAAACAGAAAGAAAATAATATGAGACTTCAATACCACATCTTTAATAATGTATAGAACAACCAGACAAAAGGTCAACAAGGAACTAACTTGAACAACACTATAGACCAACTGGACTTAAAAGACATACAGAATATGTCACTCAATAACAATGAATATACATTCTCTTCAAGTGAACATGAAACTATCTCCAGGACAGACCACATTTTAGGACACAAAACAAGTCTTAACAAATTCACAAAGCTTGAAATCATGCAAAGCATATTTTTCAATTACAATGGAATGAAATTTAAAATCAACAGCAGAGGAAAACTGAAAATTCACAAATAAGTAGAAATTAACACATTTTTCACTTAACAGTGGGTCAAAGAGGAGACCATAGGAGAAATTAAAAAAAAAAAAACTTGAGACAAATGAAAATAAAAACAGAACATACATACCAAACTTATGATATAGTGAAAGTAGTACTAACAAGGAAGTTTATAGCTGTAAACATATATATTTACAAAAAGAAAGATCTCAAGTCAACAACCTAACTTTATACCTCAAAGAACAAATAAAAACAAGAAAAACCTAAACCCAAAGCTAGGAAAAGGTAGGAGTAATAAAATTTAGAGCACACATAAATAAAATAGAGAATACAAAAACATTACAAAAATATCAATGAAACTAAGAGTTTTTTTTTTTAAAGATTGACAAAATTGAAAAACCCTTAGCTAGATTAACTACGAAAAAGAGAAATAAAACTCAAATAACAAAATCAGATGAAAGAGGGGACAATACAACTGATGCTGCAGAAATGAAAAAAGTATAAGAATATTATGAACAACTGCAGGCCAAGAAATTGAAAAATTTAGAAGTAATTGACACATTCTTGGAAATACATGAACTATCAAGACTGGATCATGAAAAAATAGAAAATCTAAATAGACCAATAACTAGCAAACAGGTTAAATCAATAATCAAAAAACCTCACAACAAAATTAAAGCATAAGTCCCAATGGTTCAACTACAGAATCTGATCAAACATTTAAAACAGAATTAGCACCAGTCTTCCTGAAACACTTGTGAAAAATTAAAAGGAAAAAATACTTCCAAGTTCATTCTATGGAAATCAGAATTACCCCAACACCAAAGCACATCAAAACACTATACAAAGAAGAGAACGTTATAGATCAATATCCCTGATGAATATTGATGCAAAAATCCTCAACAAAATACTGGCAAACTGAAATCAATGGCACACTAAAAGAATTATACACCATCACCAGCTGGTATTTATGTTTGGGATACAAGGATAGTTCAACATATGAAAATCAATCAATGTAATACACCACATTAACAGAATAAAGAACAAAAAACTACATGATCATCTTAACTGATGCAGAAAAAGCATTTGACAAAATTCCAGTAGCCTTTTATGATAAAAACTAGAAACAGAAGAAAATTACTTCAATATAAAAAAGGTGGTATATGAAAAGTCCACAGCAACCATTGTAGTCAATGGTGAAAGACTGAAAGACTTTCCTCTAAGATCAAGAGGAAGGCAAGTATGCCCACTCTCCCACTTCTATTCAACATAATACTGTATGTACTAGCCAGTGCAATTAGGCAAGAATAATAAAAGTCATCAAAATTGAAAATGAAGAAATAAAATTATCTCTGTTTACAGAAGAGCTCATGCATTATGTAGAAAATTCTAAAAATTACACACACACACACACACACACACACTGTTAGAACTAATAAACAAATTCAAATTTGCAGGATATAAAATCAGTATTAAAAATTAGTTCTGTTTTTATATACTAACAATAATGAAAAGGAAATTAAGATAATTTCATTTACAATAGCATTAAAATGAACAAAATACTTAGAAATAAACCTAACCAAGAAGTGAAAAACATTTACAATTAAAACCACAAAACACTGCTGAAAGAAATTAAAGGCACAGATAAATGTTAAGACATCTCATGTTCATAGATTGGAAGCTTTAATGTTGTTAAGATATCCATATTACCCAAAGTGGCTACAGATTTTATGTAATTCCTACCAAAATGCCAATGGCATTTTTTTGCAGAAATAAATAGAAAAAAAATCAATCTATAATTCATATAGAACCTCGAGGGACTCCAAATAGCCAAAGCAACTGTGAAACAGTAGAATGAAATTAGAAAACTCACACTTCAAGATTTCAAAGCATATTACAAGCTACAGTAATCAAAATGTTATGTTACTAGTATAAAGACAAATAGACTAATGACATATAATACAGAGCTCAGAAATACACCCTAATGTACATGATAAGAAGACCTTTAATGAGAATTCCAAGACTTCTTAATAAGGAAAGAATAGTTTCTTTAATAAAAGGTGGTGGGAAAACTATCCACATGCAAATGAATGTTTTGGATGCTTATCTTACACTATACACAAAAATAAACTCAAATGGATTAAAGACTTAAACATAATCCCCCAAAAGAAAACACAGGAGGAAAGCTTCCTGAAATTGGTCTTGACAATGATTTCTTGGATACGACACCAAAAGTACAGGCAACGAAAAGCAAAAATAGACAAATGGGGCCTGCATTAAGTTTAAGAACTTTTGTGTATCAAAGGACATGCTCAACAGGGTGAAAAAGCAATTTACAGAATGGGAGAAAATATTTGCAAATTATAAATCTGATAGTTAATATCCAAAATATATAAAGAACTGCTTTAAATAATCTGATTAAAAAGTGAACATAGGGCTGGAATAGACATTTTCCAAAGATTATATACAAATTGCCAAATAAGTATATATCCAATAGAGAGTTAATAATAAATAAGAGCTGCATAAAGAACTCCTCCCAATCTGATTTAAAAATGAGCATGGCACTTCAGTAAGCATTTTTCCAAAAGTGATATACAAATGGCCAAATACATAAAAAGATCTTCAACATGACTAATCATTAAGAAATGGAAATCAGATCCACAATTAAATATCACCTCATAGCCATGAGGATAACTACTATTTAAAAAAAAACTACTATAAAAAAAAAAAACAGAACACAAGTGTTGGCAATAACATGGCAAAACTGAAACCCTTGTGCACTATTGGTGGGATTATAAAACAGTGCAATTGCTATAGAAAACAGTATGAATGTGATGGTTAATATTAAGTGTCAACTTGATTGGTTGAAGAATACAAAGTATTGTTGCTGGGAGTGTCTGTGAGGGTGTTGCCAAAGGAGATTAACCTGTTAGTCAGTGGACTGAGAGAGGTAGATCCACCCTCAATGAGACTGGGCACCATCCAATCAATTGTCAGTATGGCTAGAATAAAGCAGGCAAGAGAAAGTGGGAGACCCTTACTTGCTGAATCTTCTGATCTTCTTCTTTCTCCTGTGCTGGATACTTCCTGCCCTCCAATATGAGACCCCAAGTTCTTCAGCTTTTGGAATCTTGGACTTATACCAATGGCTCTTGGGCCTTCAGCCACAAACTGAAGCCTGCATTGTTGGCTTCCCTACTTTTGAGGTTTTGGGATTCAGACTGAGCTGCTACTAGCTTCCTTGCTCCTCAACCTGCAGACCACTTATCGTGCAACTTCACCTTGTGAATGGGTAGGTCAATTCTCCATAATAAACTTCCTTTCATGTATACATATATATCCTATTAGTTCTGTCCCTCTAGAGAACACTGATTAATACAATGGACTTCCCTTAAAAAATTAAAAGTAGATCTACCATATGATCCGCAATCCCACTTCCATGTGTATATTCAAAATAATTGAAAGCAGGGTCTTGAAGAGATATTTGCACACCTATGTTAATAGCGGCACTATTCACAATATCTAAGAAGTAGAAGCAACCCAAAAATCTATCCACAGATGAATGAATAAGCAAAATGTGGTATATACATAGGATGGAATGTTACGCAGTCTTTAAAAAGGCAGAAATCCCATAACATACTACAAGAATGAATCTTGAAGACATTATGCTAAGTGAAATAAGCCAGTCACAGAAGATACTGTATAATCCCACATATATGAAATATCTAAAGTAATCAAATTTATAGAAAGAGAAAGTAGAATGGTAATTACCGGCAGCTAGAGGGAAGAGGAAAAGGAGTGTTGTTTAATGAGTACAGAGTTTCAGTTTTGTAAGATGAAAAAGTTCTAGAGATCTGTCTCATGGCAATGTGAATATATTTAACACTACTAAACTGTACACTTAAAATGGTAAATATGATGATAGATGGATGGATGGATAGATAGATAGATAGATAGATAGATAGATAGAAGATAGATAATACAACATGACCAGTTGAGGTTATTCTGAGAATACAAGACTGTGTAACATTTTAAAATCCTGAACTCAGGCCAGGAACGGTGGTCACGCCTGTAATCCCAGCACTTTGAGAGGCCGAGGCAGGCAGATCACTTGAGTTCAGGAGTTAGAGACCAGCCTGGTCAACATGGTGAAGGCCGTCTCTACCACAAATATAACATGGCCATCTCTACCAAAAACATAAAAAATTAGCCAGATGTGGCAGTGCATGCCTGTAATTCCAGCTACTTGGGAGGCTAAGGCAAAAGAAGCACTTGAACTTGGGAGGCAGGAGTTGCAGTGAGCCAAGATCGTGCTACTGCACTCCAGCCTGGGAGAGAGAGTGGGACTCCATCTCAAAAAATTAAAAACAAAAAAAAAATCTTGAACTCAAAAGGAAAAGACAAAAATATTTAGTTTTTATAAAATAATGCAAATTTAGGGCAATAAAAATTTCTTTAACAAGTCATAAAAGTAAAAATGATAAAAGATTGATGATTTCACATTAAAATTAAGAATTCCTATTCATCAAAGCATAGTATATAAAAAATAGAAGAAAAAGTCATACTCTGGGAGATGTTTTCAAAATAGTTGAACAACAAAAATAGTATCAAGACTATATAAAAAAGGGAGGCAGCCAAGATGGCCGAATAGGAACAGCTCCGGTCTACAGCTCCCAGCGTGAGTGACGCAGAAGACGGGGGATTTCTGCATTTCCATCTGAGGTACCAGGTTCATCTCACTAGGGAGTGCCACACAGTGGGCGCAGGACAGTGGGTGGAGCGCACCATGTCCAAGCCAAAGCAGGGTGAGGAATTGCCTCACTCGGGAAGCTCAAGTGGTCAGGGAGTTCCCTTTCCTAGTCAAAGAAAGGGGTGACAGGCGGCACCTGGAAAATCGGGTCACTCCCACCCTAATACTGCGCTTTTCCGACGGGCTTAAAAAATGGCGCACCAGGAGATTATATCCCGCACATGGCTCAGAGGGTCCTACGTCCATGGAGTCTCGCTGATTGCTAGCACAGCAGTATGAGATCAAACTGCAAGGCGGCAGCAAGGCTGGGGGACGGGTGCCCGCCATTGCCCAGGCTTGCTTAGGTAAACAAAGCAGCCGGGAAGCTCGAACTGGGTGGAGCCCACCACAGCTCAAGGAGGCCTGCCTGCCTCTGTAGGCTCCACCTCTGGGGGCAGGGCACAGACAAACAAAAAGACAGCAGTAACCTCTGCAGACGTAAATGTCCCTGTCTGACAGCTTTGAACAGAGCAGTGGTTCTCCCAGCACTCAGCTGGAGATCTGAGAACGGGCAGACTGCCTCCTCAACTGCGTCCCTGACCCCTGACCCCCGAGCAGCCTAACTGGGAGGCACCCCCCAGTAGGGGCAGACTGACACCTCACACGGCCAGGTACTCCTCTGAGACAAAACTTCCAGAGGAACTAGCAGACGGCAGCATTCGTGTTTCACGAAAATCCGCTCTTCTGCAGACACGGCTGCGGATACCCAGGCAAACAGGGTCTGGAGTGGACCTCCAGCAAACTCCAACAGACCTGCAGCTGAGGGTCCTGTCTGTTAGAAGGAAAACTAACAAACAGAGAGGACATCCACACCAAAACCCCATCTGTACATCACCATCATCAAAGACCAAAAGTAGATAAAACCACAAAGATGGGGAAAAAACAGAGCAGAAAAACTGGAAACTCTAAAAAGCAGAGTGCCTCTCCTCCTCCAAAGGAACCCAGTTCCTCACCAGCAACAGAACAAAGCTGGACGGAGAATGACTTTGACGAGTAGAGAGAGGAAGGCTTCAGAAGATCAAACTACTCCGAGCTAAAGGAGGAAGTTTGAACCAATGGCAAAGAAGTTAAAAACTTTGAAAAAAATTTAGACGAATGTATAACTAGAATAACCAATACAGAAAAGTGCTTAAAGGAGCTGATGGAGCTGAAAGCAAAGGCTCGAGAACTACGTGAAGAATGCAGAAGCCTCAGGAGCTGATGTGATCAACTAGAAGAAAGGGTATCAGTGATGGAAGATGAAATGAATGAAATGAAGCGAGAAGGGAAGTTTAGAGAAAAAAGAATAAAAAGAAATGAAGAAAGCCTCCAAGAAATATGGGACTATGTGAAAAGACCAAATCTACGTCTCATTGGTGTACCTGAAAGTGACAGGGAGAATGGAACCAAGTTGGAAAACACTCTGCAAGACATTATCCAGGAGAACTTCCCCAATCTAGCAAGGCAGGCCAACATTCAGATTCAGGAAATACAGAGAACGCCACAAAGATACTCCTTGAGAAGAGCAACTCCAAGACACATAATTGTCGGATTCACCAAAGTTGAAATGAAGGAAAAAATGTTAAGGGCAGCCAGAGAGAAAGGTCGGGTTACCCACAAAGGGAAGCCCATCACACTAACAGCTGATCTCTCCGCAGAAACTCTACAAGCCAGAAGACAGTGGGGGCCAATATTCAACTTTCTTAAAGAAAAGAATTTTCAACCCAGAATTTCATATCCAGCCAAACTAAGCTTCATAAGTGAAGGAGAAATAAAATACTTTACAGACAAGCAAATGCTGAGAGATGTTGTCACCACCAGGCCTGCCCTAAAAGAGCTCCTGAAGGAAGCACTAAACATGGAAAGAACAACCGGTACCAGCCACTGCAAAAACATGCCAAATTGTAAAGACCATCGAGACTAGGAAGAAACTGCATCAACTAACGAGCAAAATAACGAGCTAACATCATAATGACAGGATCAAATTCACACATAACAATATTAACTTTAAATGAAAATGGACTAAATGCTCCAATTGAAAGACACAGACTGGCAAATTGGATAAAGACTCAAGATCCATCAGTGTGCTGTATTCAGGAAACCTATCTCACATGCAGAGACACACATAGGCTCAAAATAAAAGGATGGAGGAAGATCTACCAAGCAAATGGAAAACAAAAAAAGGCAGGGGTTGAAATCCCAGTCTCTGATAAAACAGACTTTAAACCAACAAAGATCAAAAGAGACAAAGAAGGCCATTACATAATGGTAAAGGGATCAATTCAATAAGAAGAGCTAACTGTCCTAAATATATATTCACCCAATACAGGAGCACCCAGATTCATAAAGCAAGTCCTCAGTGACCTACAAAGAGACTTAGACTCCCACACAATAATAATGGGAGACTTTAACACCCCACTGTCAACATTAGACAGATCAACGAGACAGAAAGTTAACAAGCATACCCGGGAATTGAACTCATCTCTGCACCAAGGGGACCTAATAGACATCTACAGAACTCTCCACCCTAAATCAACAGAATATACATTTTTTTCAGCACACCACACCTATTCCAAAATTGACCACATACTTGGAAGTAAAGCTCTCCTCAGCAAATGTAACACAACAGAAATTACAACAAACTGTCTCTCAGACCACAGTGCAATCAAACTAGAACTCAGGATTAAGAAACTCACTCTAAACTGCTCAACTACATGGAAACTGAACAACCTGCTCCTGAATGACTACTGGGTACATAAGGAAATGAAGGCAGAAAAAAAGATATTCTTTTAAACCAACGAGAACAAAGACACAACATACCAGAATCTCTGGGACGCATTCAAAGCAGTGTGTAGAGGGAAATTTATAGCACTAAATGCCCACAAGAGAAAGCAGGAAAGATCCAAAACTGACACCCTAACATCACAATTAAAAGAACTAGAAAAGTGGAGGAGTCAAGATGGCCGAATAGGAACAGCTCCGGTCTACAGCTCCCAGCGTGAGCGACGCAGAAGACGGGTGATTTCTGCATTTCCATCTGAGGTACCGGGTTCATCTCACTAGGGAGTGCCAGACAGTGGGCGCAGGCCAGTGTGTGCGCGCACCGTGCGCGAGCCGAAGCAGGGCGAGGCATTGCCTCACCTGGGAAGCGCAAGGGGTCAGGGAGTTCCCTTTCCGAGTCAAAGAAAGGTGTGACTGACGCACCTGGAAAATCGGGTCACTCCCACCCGAATATTGCGCTTTTCAGACCGGCTTAAGAAACGGCGCACCACGAGACTGTATCCCACACCTGGCTCAGAGGGTCCTACGCCCACGGAATCTCGCTGATTGCTAGCACAGCAGTCTGAGATCAAACTGCAAGGCGGCAACGAGGCTGGGGGAGGGGCGCCCGCCATTGCCCAGGCTTGCTTAGGTAGACAAAGCAGCCAGGAAGCTCGAACTGGGTGGAGCCCACCACAACTCAAGGAGGCCTGCCTGCCTCTGTAGGCTCCACCTCTGGGGGCAGGGCACAGACAAACAAAAAGACAGCAGTAACCTCTGCAGACTTAAGTGTCCCTGTCTGACAGCTTTGAAGAGAGCAGTGGTTCTCCCAGCACGCAGCTGGAGATCTGAGAACGGGCAGACTGCCTCCTCAAGTGGGTCCCTGACCCCTGACCCCCGAGCAGCCTAACTGGGAGGCACCCCCCAGCAGGGGCACACTGACACCTCACATGGCAGGGTATTCCAACAGACCTGCAGCTGAGGGTCCTGTCTGTTAGAAGGAAAACTAACAACCAGAAAGGACATCTACACCAAAAACCCATCTGTACATCACCATCATCAAAGACCAAAAGTAGATAAAACCACAAAGATGGGGAAAAAACAGAACAGAAAAACTGGAAACTCTAAAACGCAGAGCCCCTCTCCTCCTCCAAAGGAACGCAGTTCCTCACCAGCAACGGAACAAAGCTGGATGGAGAATGATTTTGACGAGCTGAGAGAAGAAGGCTTCAGACGATCAAATTACTCTGAGCTACGGGAGGACATTCAAACCAAAGGCAAAGAAGTTGAAAACTTTGAAAAAAATTTAGAAGAATGTATAACTAGAATAACCAATACAGAGAAGTGCTTAAAGGAGCTGATGGAGCTGAAAACCAAGGCTCGAGAACTACGTGAAGAATGCAGAAGCCTCAGGAGCCGATGCGATCAACTGGAAGAAAGGGTATCAGCAATGGAAGATGAAATGAATGAAATGAAGCAAGAAGGGAAGTTTAGAGAAAAAAGAATAAAAAGAAATGAGCAAAGCCTCCAAGAAATATGGGACTACGTGAAAAGACCACATCTACGTCTGATTGGTGTACCTGAAAGTGATGGGGAGAATGGAACCAAGTTGGAAAACACTCTGCAGGATATTATCCAGGAGAACTTCCCCAATCTAGCAAGGCAGGCCAACGTTCAGATTCAGGAAATACAGAGAACGCCACAAAGATACTCCTCGAGAAGAGCAACTCCAAGACACATAATTGTCAGATTCACCAAAGTTGAAATGAAGGAAAAAATGTTAAGGGCAGCCAGAGAGAAAGGTCGGGTTACCCTCAAAGGAAAGCCCATCAGACTAACAGCGGATCTCTCGGCAGAAACCCTACAAGCCAGAAGAGAGTGGGGGCCAATATTCAACATTCTTAAAGAAAAGAATTTTCAACCCAGAATTTCATATCCAGCCAAACTAAGCTTCATAAGTGAAGGAGAAATAAAATACTTTATAGACAAGCAAATGGTGAGAGATTTTGTCACCACCAGGCCTGCCCTAAAAGAGCTCCTGAAGGAAGCGCTAAACATGGAAAGGAACAACCGGTACCAGCCGCTGCAAAATCATGCCAAAATGTAAAGACCATCGAGACTAGGAAGAAACTGCATCAACTAATGAGCAAAATCACCAGCTAACATCATAATGACAGGATCAAATTCACACATAACAATATTAACTTTAAATATAAATGGACTAAATTCTGCAATTAAAAGACACAGACTGGCAAGTTGGATAAAGAGTCAAGACCCATCAGTGTGCTGTATTCAGGAAACCCATCTCACGTGCAGAGACACACATAGGCTCCAAATAAAAGGATGGAGGAAGATCTACCAAGCCAATGGAAAACAAAAAAAGGCAGGGGTTGCAATCCTAGTCTCTGATAAAACAGACTTTAAACCAACAAAGATCAAAAGAGACAAAGAAGCCCATTACATAATGGTAAAGGGATCAATTCAACAAGAGGAGCTAACTATCCTAAATATTTATGCACCCAATACAGGAGCACCCAGATTCATAAAGCAAGTCCTGAGTGACCTACAAAGAGACTTAGACTCCCACACATTAATAATGGGAGACTTTAACACCCCACTGTCAACATTAGACAGATCAACGAGACAGAAGGTCAACAAGGATACCCAGGAATTGAACTCAGCTCTGCACCAAGCAGACCTAATAGACATCTACAGAACTCTCCACCCCAAATCAACAGAATATACATTTTTTTCAGCACCACACCACACCTATTCCAAAATTGACCACATAGTTGGAAGTAAAGCTCTCCTCAGCAAAGGTAAAAGAACAGAAATTATAACAAACTATCTCTCAGACCACAGTGCAATCAAACTAGAACTCAGGATTAAGAATCTCACTCAAAGCCACTCAACTACATGGAAACTGAACAACCTGCTCCTGAATGACTACTGGGTACATAACAAAATGAAGGCAGAAATAAAGATGTTCTTTGAAACCAACGAGAACAAAGACACCACATACCGGAATCTCTGGGCCGCATTCAAAGCAGTGTGTAGAGGGAAATTTATAGCACTAAACGCCTACAAGAGAAAGCAGGAAAGATCCAAAATTGACACCCTAACATCACAATTAAAAGAACTATAAAAGCAAGAGCAAACACATTCAAAAGCTGGCAGAAGGCAAGAAATAACTAAAATCAGAGCAGAACTGAAGGAAATAGAGACAAAAAACCCTTCCAAAAATCAATGAATCCAGGAGCTGGTTTTTTGAAAGGATCAACAAAATTGATAGACCGCTAGCAAGACTAATAAAGAAAAAAAGAGAGAAGAATCAAATAGACACAATAAAAAATGATAAAGGGGATATCACCACCGATCCCACAGAAATACAAACTACCATCAGAGAATACTACAAACACCTCTACGCAAATAAACTAGAAAATCTAGAAGAAATAGATACATTCCTCGACACATACAGTCTCCCAAGACTAAACCAGGAAGAAGTTGAATCTCTGAATAGACCAATAACAGGCTCTGAAATTGTGGCAATAATCAATAGTTTACCAACCAAAAAGAGTCCAGGACCAGATGGATTCACAGCCGAATTCTACCAGAGGTACAAGGAGGAACTGGTACCATTCCTTCTGAAACTATTCCAATCAATAGAAAAAGAGGGAATCCTCCCTAACTCATTTTATGAGGCCAGCATCATTCTGATACCAAAGCCGGGCAGAGACACAACCAAAAAAGAGAATTTTAGACCAATATCCTTGATGAACATTGATGCAAAAATCCTCAATAAAATACTGGCAAACCGAATCCAGCAGCACATCAAAAAGGTTATCCACCATGATCAAGTGGGCTTCATCCCTGGGATGCAAGGCTGGTTCAATATACGCAAATCAATAAATGTAATCCAGCATATAAACACAACCAAAGACAAAAACCACATGATTATCTCAATAGATGCAGAAAAAGCCTTTGACAAAATTCAACAACCCTTCATGCTAAAAACTTTCAATAAATTAGGTATTGATGGGACGTATTTCAGAATAATAAGAGCTATCTATGACAAACCCACAGCCAATATCATACTGAATGGGCAAAAACTGGAAGCATTCCCTTTGAAAACTGGCACAAGACAGGGATGCCCTCTCTCACCGCTCCTATTCAACATAGTGTTGGAAGTTCTGGCCAGGGCAATCAGGCAGGAGAAGGAAATAAAGGGTATTCAATTAGGAAAAAAAGGAAGTCAAATTGTCCCTGTTTGCAGACGACATGATTGTTTATCTAGAAAACCCCAACGTCTCAGCCCAAAATCTCCTTAAGCTGATAAGCAACTTCAGCAAAGTCTCAGGATACAAAATCAATGTACAAAAATCACAAGCATTCTTATACACCAACAACAGACAAACAGAGAGCCAAATCATGAGTGAACTCCCATTCACAATTGCTTCAAAGAGAATAAAATATCTAGGAATCCAACTTACAAGGGATGTGAAGGACCTCTTCAAGGAGAACTACAAACCACTGCTCAAGGAAATAAAAGAGGACACAAACAAATGGAAGAACATTCCATGCTCATGGGTAGGAAGAATCAATATCGTGAAAATGGCCATACTGCCCAAGGTAATTTACAGATTCAATGCCATCCCCATCAAGCTACCAATGACTTTCTTCACAGAATTGGAAAAAACTACTTTAAAGTTCATATGGAACCAAAAAAGAGCCCGCATCGCCAAGTCAATCCTAAGCCAAAAGAACAAAGCTGGAGGCATCACACTACCTGACTTCAAACTATACTACAAGGCTACAGTAACCAAAACAGCATGGTACTGGTACCAAAACAGAGATATAGATCAATGGAACAGAACAGAGCCCTCAGAAATAATGCTGCATATCTACAACTATCTGATCTTTGACAAACCTGAGAAAAACAAGCAATGGGGAAAGGATTCCCTATTTAATAAATGGTGCTGGGAAAACTGGCTAGCCATATGTAGAAAGCTGAAACTGGATCCCTTCCTTACACCTTATACAAAAATCAATTCAAGATGGATTAAAGATTTAAACGTTAGACCTAAAACCATAAAAACCCTAGAAGAAAACCTAGGCATTACCATTCAGGACATAGGCGTGGGCAAGGACTTCATGTCCAAAACACCAAAAGCAATGGCAACAAAAGCCAAAATTGACAAATGGGATCTAATTAAACTAAAGAGCTTCTGCACAGCAAAAGAAACTACCATCAGAGTGAACAGGCAACCTACAACATGGGAGAAAATTTTCGCAACCTACTCATCTGACAAAGGGCTAATATCCAGAATCTACAATGAACTCAAACAAATTTACAAGAAAAAAACAAACAACCCCATCAAAAAGTGGGCGAAGGACATGAACAGACACTTCTCAAAAGAAGACATTTATGCAGCCAAAAAACACATGAAGAAATGCTCATCATCACTGGCCATCAGAGAAATGCAAATCAAAACCACTATGAGATATCATCTCACACCAGTTAGAATGGCAATCATTAAAAAGTCAGGAAACAACAGGTGCTGGAGAGGATGTGGAGAAATAGGAACACTTTTACACTGTTGGTGGGACTGTAAACTAGTTCAACCATTGTGGAAGTCAGTGTGGCGATTCCTCAGGGATCTAGAACTAGAAATACCATTTGACTCAGCCATCCCATTACTGGGTATATACCCAAAGGACTATAAATCATGCTGCTATAAAGACACATGCACACGTATGTTTATTGTGGCACTATTCACAATAGCAAAGACTTGGAACCAACCCAAATGTCCAACAATGATAGACTGGATTAAGAAAATGTGGCACATATACACCATGGAATACTATGCAGCCATAAAAAATGATGAGTTCATGTCCTTTGTAGGGACATGGATGAAATTGGAAACCATCATTCTCAGTAAACTATCGCAAGAACAAAAAACCAAACACCGCATATTCTCACTCATAGGTGGGAATTGAACAATGAGATCACATGGACACAGGAAGGGGAATATCACACTCTGGGGACTGTGGTGGGGTCGGGGGATGGGGGAGGGATAGCATTGGGAGATATACCTAATGCTAGATGACACGTTAGTGGGTGCAGCGCACCAGCATGGCACATGTATACATATGTAACTAACCTGCACAATGTGCACATGTAACCTAAAACTTAGAGTATAATAAAAAAAAAAAACATTAAAAAAAAAAAAAAGAACTAGAAAAGCAAGAGCAAACACATTCAAAAGCTAGCAGAAGGCAAGAAATAACTAAGATCAGAGCAGAACTGAAGGAAATAGAGACACAAAAAACCCTTCCAAAAATCAATGAATCCAGGAGCTGGTTTTTTGAAAGGATCAACAAAATTGATAGACCACTAGCAAGACTAATAAAGAAGAAGAGAGAAGAATCAAATAGACACAATAAAAAATGATAAAGGGGATATCACCACCGATCCCACAGAAATACAAACTACCATCAGAGAATACTACAAACACCTCTACGCAAATAAACTAGAAAATCTAGAAGAAATGGATAAATTCCTTGACACATACACCCTCCCAAGACTAAAGCAGGAAGAAGTTGAATCTCTGAATAGACCAATAACAGGCTCTGAAATTGTGGCAATAATCAATAGCTTACCAACTAAAAAGAGTCCAGGACCAGATGGATTCACAGCTGAATTCTACCAGAGGCATGAGGAGGAACTGGTAGCATTCCTTCTGAAACTATTCCAATCAATAGAAAAAGAGGGAATCCTCCCTAACTCATTTGATGAGGCCAGCATCATCCTGATACCAAAGCCAGGCAGAGACACACCAAAAAAGATAATTTTAGACCAATATCCTTGATGAACATTGATGCAAAAATCCTCAATAAAATACTGGCAAACCGAATCCAGCAGCACATCAAAAAGCTTATCCACCATGATCAAGTGGGCTTCATCCCTGGGATGCAAGGCTGGTTCAATATATGCAAATCAATAAATGTAATCCAGCATATAAACACAACCAAAGACAAAAACCACATGATTATCTCAATAAATGCAGAAAAGCCCTTTGACAAAATTCAACAACCCTTCATGCTAAAAACTCTCAATAAATTAGGTACTGATGGGACGTATCTCAAAATAATAAGAGCTATCTATGACAAACCCACAGCCAATATCATACTGAATGGGCAAAAACTAGAAGCATTCCCTTTGAAAACTGGCACAAGACAGGGATGCCCTCTCTCACCACTCCTATTCAACATAGTGTTGGAAGTTCTGGCCAGGGCAATTAGGCAGGAGAAGGAAATAAAGGGTATTCAATTAGGAAAAGAGGAAGTCAAATTGTCCCTGTTTGCAGATGACATGCTGGTATATCTAGAAAACCCCATCGTCTCAGCCCAAAATCTCCTTAAGCTGATAAGCAACTTCAGCAGTCTCAGGATACAAAATCAATGTACAAAAATCACAAGCATTCTTACACACCAACAACAGACAAACAGAGAGCCAAATCATGAGTGAACTCCCATTCACAACTGCTTCAAAGAGAATAAAATACCTAGTAATCCAACTTACAAGGGATGTGAAGGACCTCTTCCAGGAGAACTACAAACCACTGCTTAAGGAAATAAAAGAGGACACAAACAAATGGAAGAACATTCCATGCTCATGGGTAGGAAGAATCAATATCGTGAAAATGGCCATACTGCCCAAGGTCATTTATAGATTCAATGCCATTCCCATCAAGCTACCAATGACTTTCTTCACAGAATTGGAAAAAACTACTTTAAAGTTCATATGGAACCAAAAAAGAGCCCGCATCGCCAAGTCAATCCTAAGCCAAAAGAACAAAGCTGGAGGCATCACACTACCTGACTTCAAACTATACTACAAGGCTACAGTCACCAAAACAGCATGGGACTAGTACCAAAACAGAGATATAGATCAATGGAACAGAACAGAGCCCTCAGAAATAACACTGCATGTCTACAACTATCTGATCTTTGACAAACCTGAGAAAAACAAGCAATGGGGAAAGGATTCCCTATTTAATAAATTGTGCTGGGAAAACTGGCTAGCCATATGTAGAAAGCTGAAACTGGATCCCTTCCTTACACCTTATACAAAAATTAATTCAAGATGGATTAAAGACTTAAACGTTAGACCTAAAACCATAAGAAGCCTAGAAGAAAACCTAGGCATTACTATTCAGGACATAGGCATGGGCAAGGACTTCATGTCTAAAACACCAAAAGCAATGGCAACAAAAGACATAATTGACAAACGGGATCTAATTAAACTAAAGAGCTTCTGCACAGCAAAAGAAACTGCCATCAGAGTGAACAGGCAACCTACAAAATGGGAGAAAATTTTCGCAACCTACTCATCTGAAAAAGGGCTAATATCCAGAATCTACAATGAACTCCAACAAATTTACAAGAAAAAAACAAACAACCCCATCAAAAAGTGGGCAAAGGATATGAACAGACACTTCTCAAAAGAAGACATTTATGCAGCCAAAAAACACATGGAAAAATGCTCATCATCACTGGCCATCAGAGAAATGCAAATCAAAACCACAATGAGATATCATCTCACACCAGTTAGAATGGCAATCATTAAAAAGTCAGGAAACAACAGGTGCTGGAGAGGATGTGGAGAAATAGGAACACTTTTACACTGTTGGTGGGACTGTAAACTAGTTCAACCATTGTGGAAGTCAGCGTGGCTATTCCTCAGGGATCTAGAACTAGAAATATCATTTGACCCAGCCATCCTATTACTGGTTATATACCCAAACGAGTATAAATCATGCTGCTATAAAGACACATGCACACGTATGTTTATTGCACGGCACTATTCACAATAGCAAAGACTTGGAACAACCCAAATGTCCAACAACGATAGACTGGATTAAGAAAATGTGGCACATATACACCATGGAATACTATGCAGCCATAAAAAATGATGAGTTCATGTCTTTGTAGGGACATGGATGAAATTGGAAACCATCATTCTCAGTCAACTATCACAAGAACAAAAATCCAAACACCGCATATTCTCACTCATAGTTGGGAATTGAACAATGAGAACACATGGACACAAGAAGGGGAACATCACACTCTGGGGACTGTTGTGGGGTGGGGGGAGGGGGGAGGGATAGCATTAGGAGATATATCTAATGCTAAATGACAAGTTAATGGGTGCAGCACACCAGCATGGCACATGTATACATATGTAACTAACCTGCACATTGTGCACATGTACCCTAAAACTTAAAGTATAATAATAATAAAATAAAATAAAAAAAAGACTATATAAAAAAATGCTTAAAAACCAGTAAGAAAATTTTGGCAAACCACCTCACAGGAAAAAATGGGCAAAGTTATAAACAAATATTTTATAGAATATGATAAACAAGCAATAAATATGTAGATTTCAAGCACGCTAGTAAACAGGTAAATGCTAATTAAAATATATGATATATTGACAAAAATTTAAGTCTGAAAGTGTCAAGTTTCAACAAAAAGTAAAAACAAGTGGAATTCTTTTATACTGCTATGAAAGGTAAATTGAGTATGACCATTTGGAAAACAATTTGGTTACCTAATAAATTTCAAGCTGCTTATGTCAGTTTTCTAAAATTGCCAAAATAAATTATCTCAAGTTTAGCAGCTAAAATAATGCTATCTCACAGTTAGGAAGTCAGAAGTTGAGCGAGCTCAGCTGGGAATTCTGCTTAGGATCTCACAATGCTGAAATCAAGGTGTCGGCCAGCTTGTGTTCTTATCTGGAGGCTCAGGTTGATAGCAAACATAATTTAATTCCTTCTCACGGTTTCCACGTGGCCTCCATGTCTTCAAGTCAGCAACAAGTAGGTTGAGTGCCTCTCACTCTACAAGTGTCTAACTTTCTCTTGCATTGCATCTCTTCTGCCTTTAAAGGGTCACATGATTATATTAGGTGTACCTACATAGACTAAGATAATCTTCCTATCTTAAGGTCAGCTAATTAGCATGATTAGTAATTTTAGTTACATCTGCAAAGTTCCTTTTGCCACATAACACAACATAACATAACTATAGTTGTGACATCAGAGAGTGAGGATCATGGAGGCAGAATTTTGCTTTCACAGTTCACCCTTTGGCCTTCATGATCCATGGTCCTCCCATATAAAAACACATTCACTCCCTGCCCAGGTCCCTGAAGATCTCATCACATTATAACACAAATTCAGTTCAAAAATCTTCCCTAAATCTAACCAGCTTTAATGTTCCAAATCTCATCATCTAAATCCTTTAAATCACATATGGTTGGGGCTCTGTATATAATCTATCATGGGACATAGATCACTCCATCAGGGACCTGTGGCTGTAAAGAAACAGATTATCTGCTTCCAACACATGATGGGTCAAGCATAGGATAACAGTTATATACATTCCAGTTCAAACAGGGAGGAAATAAAAGGTAAAATGGAGTCATGAGTCCAAAATAATTTTGAAATCCAGCTGAGCAAACTCTATGAGCTTTTTCATGGTTCACAACTCCATCAACTGAGTCATTCTTCCTTTTTTGTAAAAGGGTAGCAAGAAATTGCAATTGAGTAGTTTTATCAGCCTGTTTCCTGCCAGAAGAAGTTGGAGGGTATGACAATCTACTTTCATTTATACTCTCCCTCTCTCTCTTTTAGTCCAAGTTGGCAGTGCTTCTGCTGACAAAAAATCCTCAAGATCTTTATGGGTCTCCTGCATATGTCATGAGGACTCATTCCACCAGGCAATGGCATCCTCCACAGATCTTTCTTAGATAATACTATCTCTATTTATTTTCTTCTGAGATAGTTGAGAGTGTCTAGAGATCACATATTCAGTCTTTTCAAAGAGCCTTTTGTGCAACTGAATATTCTAATTGTATATCTCCCTGAAGTTTTAGCAGGAGTATCAGAGTCACATCTTCATGCTTCTTTCTGGAGTAGACTTTCCTGATACTCAATCTCTTCATTTGAGAGTCTTCGGCCATTTGGGTAAGCTGAGTATTTCCCAACTCATCATGTCTATTCAAAGCTTTCTAAGTTTTTTCTAACATGTTCTTCAAAATTCTCCCATTCTCCACCCACTTCTATGCAAGAGGAGTGGGTGGAGGATAGGGGCTATCCTATTGCCATAACAAATTACCATAAACTTAGTGGGCTAAAACAATATCCATTCATCATTGGTCAGTTCTGTACATCAAAATTTCAGTAGGATCAGCTAAGTATTCTCTTTAGAATTTCAAAGGCTGAAATCAAAGTGTCAAGTGGTCTATGTTTTTATCTAGTGGATCTGAGAGAGACTTCACTTCCAAGTTCATTCATGTTGTTGGCAAAATTCATTTTCTTCTCATGATTTCCATGTGGCTCCCTACATCTTCCAGCCAGGAAAGGAAGATCAAATCCTTCTCATTCTTTCAATCTCTTAGACTTCCCCACCTACTGCATCTCTCCGACTTCCTAGTCTGCCTTTCTCTTCTGTTTTGAAGGGCTCATGTAAGTACATTAAGCCCACCCTCATCTTGAGCTCAACGTATTAGTAACCTTAACTATACCTGTAAACTTCCTCCTGCCATGCAAAGTAGCCTAACTATGGGTGTGACACCACATAGCTAAGATCATGAGAGCCAAAATTCTTCCTTCTACCCTGCACATACCCGTAATCTCACAATTCCATTCCTAGGCATATAAGACATATAAGTTTTATTGCAGTATTGCGTATATAAAAAAAAACCTAAAAACTACTAAAAAAGCCTATCAACTTGATGTTAGGTAAATCTGTTTATAATTCATAAAATAGATTATTACAGAACAATGAGAAAAAGACTAAACTACAACAAAAAAAGCTCGTTGACTAGATACTAGGCAAATCTATTTGTAATTCATAAAATTGACATAGCAATAAAAAATGAATAAACTAGGGCTTCACATATTACATGGATGGTTCTCACAAATTATTTTAAGCAAAAAAATCAAGTCACAAAAATATATACAGTAAGATTTCAGTTATATAAATTAAGAAACATAAAAAAAGTCAAACTTAGGTTCCATAATATAATTGTTTAAAAGACATGTATTGGCCAGGCATGGTGGCTCACATTTGAAGTCCCAGCACTTTCAGAGGCTGAGACAGGAGGATCACTTGAGGCCAGGAGTTTGAGATCAGCCTAGTCAACATAGTGAGAATATGTCTCTACAAGAAACAAACAAACAAACCAAGGTTTTTAATTAGCTGGGTGTGGTGGTGCACACCTGTAGTCCTAGCTATTTGGGAGGCTGAGGCAGGAAGATCTGTTGAGCCCATGAGTTCGAGGCTGCAGTGAGCTATGATTGTGCCACTGCATTCCCACCTGGGTGACAGAGCAAGATTCCAGCTCTTAAAATAATGTATGTAGTGCTTACCCTTTTATAGGCATTATGTTAGGTAGTGAGGTCACAAAGTTGAAGAAATATGGTCCCTAGCCTAGAGAGTCTCTTGGGAAGAAAAGCAAATAAGCACATAGTAATGATGTCATAACTGATGCAGACACTGATGCAGTAACAACAAAGGATAACGGGCAATATAAACTGAAGTAAGACAAAGTCAATAGAAGAACACCAAAAATGGGGCAATAATCATGGTCTGGCAGAGACAAAGAAGATTTAACACAGAAGGTGGCAGGAACTGGGTCTACTAAAAAGGTGAGTACAAATAGGCAAGTTGAACAGGTGCAGAAATAGTCCTATCATTTGAATGTGTCCCATCCAAACTTACGTGTTGGAAAATTCACCCAAATGGTACAGTGTTGGTATATTAATCTGTTCTCATGCTGCTAATAAAGACATACCTGAGACTGGGTAATTTATAAAGGAAACAGGTTTAATTGACTCACAGTTCAGCATGGCTGGAGAGGCCTCAGAAAACTTACAATCATGGCAGAAGGGGAAGCAAACACATCCTTCTTCACATGGCATCAGGAAGGAGAAGTGCCAAGGAAAAAAAGGAAAAGCCCCTTATAAAAACCATCAGATCTCGTGAAAACTCACTATCATGAGAACAGCAGCATGACGGTAACCACCCCCATGATTCAATTACCTCCCATTGGGACCCTCCCACAACATGTGGGGATTACAGGAACTACAATGAGATTTGACTGGGGACATGGCCAAACCATATCAGTTGGGAAGTGGAGCTTTTGGGGAGGTGTTTAAGTCATGAGGGCTCCATCCCCATGAATGGATTAACGCCACTATTAAAAAGCGTTTATGGAAGTGGCTTCTCACTCTTCTGCTCTTCTGCCATGTGAGGACAGAGTGTGCCCCTCTTGCCTTTCTGCCTTCTTCAATATAAAGATGCAGCAAGAAAGTCCTTACCGGACACTGTGCCTTGATCTTGGATTCTGCAGCCTCCAAAACTGTGAAAGATTAAACTTCTGTTCCTTATAAATTACCCAATCTCAGGTATTCTGTTATAGCAGTACAAAATAGACTAAGAGAAGTACCTTTCCGACATAGGGAGCAGATACATTGTTGTGAGAATACGGCCCACTGGAGAAAATTTAAGTAGTTGAGAGCATAAGATGTGTTTAGGAATATGAGAATAAACTGCTTGGTCTCAAGTGCTATCATAAAGAGTTGAGATTATTTTTCTTCAAAGGGCATGGAAAAGAATTGGAGGATTTCAAACAAGGAAAGGGGGCTGAATTTTATATCTTATTCCAGAAAAAACAATTAGGAGCTGCTATACACAGAAAGGACTAATGCATAATGAGACCATACACATCAAAGGCCAGTTGTGACAGCCATATAATGATCTAAATAAGAAGGGTTGCTACACAAGGGTAGTGGAGGTGGAGATGGACAGAAGAGTCCCAGAAAAGATGGTCATTAATTGGGAAAAGAATGATAGAGGGGAAAAAAGACTGGAATATGACTTCTGGCTATCTAACCTAGAAAACTGTCTAGTGATGCTATCACAGAAATAAAATAGAGCGGGAGGAGTTTTGAGGTATAAATGATAAATTCAATTTTGGGGCTTATTCAATTTGAGATTTCTTTGGGACATCTATGTTCAGTGGGCAGTTGTGCCAAGGGGAGAAATATAATTGTTATAAGACATGAACATTGATGGCATAAAGTTGACTGTTAAAATCAGGGACATGTAATAGATCACTCAGGTTAATATACACTGCAGGCAGTAGGTTTAAACTTTGTTGATTCACAGACACATTTGAGACTCCATTAAGAGCTACAGAAATTTTCAGGAAAAGATTTTCACCCAGAATTCTGCATAAAATTCCAGGTCATTCTTAGGCCTGCGAAAGACAGTGTGAAAACTATCGAGAGAGCCAGAAGAAAACCTCAGAGAGATGGTGTCATGAAAGCAAAGGAAGAGGAGATTCAAGGAAGAAGTGGTCAAGATTTCCAATAGCCACAGAGAGGCCAAATATGATAACTGCAAGCACCTGGGGTACATGACACGGAGGAGGTCCCTGACTCCAGGTATGCCACTGGAGTGGAATCATGAAGAATGAGTTGAAGAGGGAGTAGTAGCTGAGTAGTTGTACAAGAAGAGTCTTTGAGGATAGAAAGAATGGAGGGGGAGCTGCAGCATGAGGTAGAAGCAGAACTGTGGGTCTGCGGGCTGTCAGGGAGGAAGTTCAAGATGCAGGCAAGGTCTCTAGAGAAGCCTCTGTGTACCGAAATGCAAAGCTTTGATAAATGCAACTGCTTAGGAGAAGAGGAGAAACATGCTTGACTAAGCCAGAAAAGAAAATATATCTCAACTGTAGTGAGATTAAAAAAACTGAAGAAAGTTTAAGGAGCCAGACCTGGCTTTTTTTTTTTTTTTTTTTTTTTTTTTGACAGAGTCTCACTCTGCTGCCCAGGCTGGAGTGCAGTGGTGCAATCTTGGCTCACTGCAACCTCCACCTCCTGGGTTCAAGCAATCTTCCTGTCTCAGCCTCCTGAGTAACTGGGACTACAGGCACACACCACAATGCCCAGCTAATCTTTTTTTTGGTATTTTTAATAGAAACGGGGTTTCACCATATTGATCAGGCTGGTCTTGAACTTGTGACCTCAGACCTGAATTTTAAAAACCAGTCCTGCTCCTGACTTCCTTCCCCTATTGATTTAGGGTGGGCTATTTATGTGGCTTTTATTTTTCTTTGCTGAACAATGGAATTTTAAGATCTTATGACTAAATATCCATTTACAGGCCTACATCTTATGCTTTGACACAGTCTGGAATATTCTCTATATAACTATTAATATATAGCATTTCATATTCTATACTAGATTGTAAACTATAGTAACACTAATTATAGCTGTCAGCAAATAATATAGCTTTTTATTTCTTGTTTAGTGTCCTCTTAGAAACCTCTGTAGGTTCATCATGGACCCCATTGAAACAATTATATTTTGGTAGTGAATATGTCAACAATTTTAACTTTATATATATATATTTTTAAGTTAGCCACATAAGACCTGCAATACCTTACGTATGATACTTTCTGCTTTGGTCACACATTTCATTAAATTTATTGTCACATCTTCAATACCCTTTCACACTGACCTCATCCTTCTATGGTGTCGTCAACCCCAGCTATTTGCCCTCTCTGCACCTAGGCAGACTCATGTGGTGTGAGCACTGCAGGATCCTACTACAGAGCCAAACAGGCTGGTGCCACCACTGGGTCCTGGGCTCCAGCCATAGCTCCATCTGCAATGTTCTGTGACCCTTCCAAGCACATTTTCCTTTTCTGCTCAGTAGCTTCTCCAAATATTATGAATAACTTTTTTCAAGCCCCCCAGCACTTACCCTTTCCTCTTCTCACCACTCCTAGCCTTTTATTTTTACAATCTCACCTTTTACGCTGAGTAGATATCATATTAAATATTAGTTGTCATATTTATTATCTAATCCTCTATCACACTGTGCCCAAGAGCTTTTCACATGTCATTCAATCTTTCCTCAACTAAAAATAAAAGATGCATGCAAGTACAGTTTAAAACTAATGATTCATTTAATTTAAAGCAGATGCATTTATCTTTCTATGCAGTTTTTTATTTTCAAATTATTAACAACATGTCATTTCTAAGATTTTAATAAATTCGCTGTCACACATGAAACACACTATGCTCACTGTTAAAATACATCATATGCCAGAAACTAAAATTGCAACTTTTGTTTAAAATTTAAAACACTATGCTCATCAAAAAATCCATCTGTTACCCGGTAATTTTTAACATAGTAATTAGACTAAATGGGATCTCATTTTATAGTTAGAATGTAAATGTTGACATTAAAAGGAAAGCAAAATAGTTATTATCATGGTAAGGAATCATAAGGAGTACAATAAATTATGTAATACATAGATTTTTCAGTAACAAAAACAAAGTAAACTGCTCAACCTCTGGAGATTCAGATTTTGTTTTTAAAAATAAACAATTATTGAATAGAGTAGCATATTCCTAGCTCTTACATACCACATATGTCAAAAATGTTTCAAGAAATTGTTGTGCTCTGATAACTTAGGTCTATCTATCTATCCATCTACAGAAATATGAGGTTTCTAATATTACTAAAATCATAGTTTGCATTTATAATGTGGTAAGGTACACATGTAGCAAGGCTATTATAATTTTAAAATTCTGTATTTTTAAAGTCTGAATTTTAAAATTCCTAAGTCTTGGGAAACAAGTGCAAAGTTATAATGTGCAGGAGAGATACTTAAAATAATCAAGAGAAAAAGAGGAAACATATAAATGTGACTATTATCCTGGAAAATTCAGTGCAATAAACATTTATTGAACTCTTACTATTTACAAGGCACAACAGGTCTCTACAATACAAAGAATATAATGTTTTCTTTTGAAGTCTCTTTACAATTGTTCTATAAAGAAAGAAATGGGGGAAGGTATTCAGCCTCTTGATTGAGTTTTAGAAGTTTGTTCAGGTTCTTTGATCCAGCATGCTGTGGACTCCCTGTGTCATAGTATACAGGAGAATTAATAAAAACCTAACAGGAGCAACTATTGAAGGTTCTTTGTTTTGTTGTTGTTTAGCAGACCTGCTTAAGAAAGAAAAATTGGTAATTTAAAACAAACAAAAATAGTATGAAAGAAAGGGGAGAAAGAACCATCACTCTAATACCAGAAAAACTAACAATTCACAGTTAGCCAGAAATTGTATATTTATTTTAAAAATTGAAATAAATTCCTGCTAATGATTAAAAATATATACTGGAATGTAGCTGTATTTGTGAATGTCCACTTACTAAACTGCTGTCCATGTTTAGAATCTTTCATCAGAGTTACCTCAAACTGTGAAAGAATTGAGAGCCAGTTGATCTATCTCCACAATTACTGGGAGGGTCCAATCACTATTGTTGTTATCAAAGAAAACAGTGAAATGTCAAGATTATTGGAAATTTTTACTTACTGGCATTTGTTCTCAGGGCAGCCTGATGCACTGAGTCTACCTGGACCTAAAATGATGCCACAGCCCAATCAAGGCTAAATACTCAAAAGCTTTTTAAATAAACGAATGAATGAATACAAACACTAACAGTATGTCTAATCTCTCCCCTTCCCTTTCTCCAGGGAATATGTGAGCCAATTAAACAGGAACTTTTGAAAGGATAGAAAGCCCTAGAAAACTCTGTAGAGTTAGAGACTGGGCAAATCATCCTGAATTATCAAATAGAAAAAATGACCAGGTACGATGACAACACTGTGAAGTTTTCTTGTTACCACATTGTCAATTCAAAACAATGATTTTCCAAATAAGGGGAAAAAAACAGAAGTACTTATTTCCAAAACTAAAAATGAATTTATTTTTTAATCCTTCCAATTGCCTTCCTATATTTAGACTGTCTTGGCTCTGTTCTGGAAAATAGTTGAGCCCTGTTTATCTCAGATAAAGGTGGGCCACTGGACTGTGCTTGAGGAAGAGTTGCATGGGTAACAGACACCAGGAAGGAACCTCATCCTTGAAATGACCTAAATCAGAATGGGTGTTCCCTGGGAGCTCTTCTTGCATCTAGAGATATTCTTGACTCTTCAGTAAATGATTCTGTATTACTAAAGTGATACCAAATTTTTAAATTTCGTTTAAAGTTACACATTAATTTATTCTTTTTTTTTTTTTTTTTTTTTTTGTGAGAGACAAAGTCTCGCTCTGTCTCCCAGGCTGGAGTGCAGTGGTTCGATCTCAGCTCACTGCAAGCTCCGCCTCCTGGGTTCATGCCATTCTCCTGCCTCAGCCTCCCGAGTAGCTGGGACTACAGGCACCCACCGCTACGCCCGGCTAATTTTTCGTATTTTTAGTAGAGACAGGGTTTCACTGTGTTAGCCAGGATGGTCTCGATCTCCTGACCTCGTGATCCTCCTGCCTTGGCCTCCCAAAGTGCTGGGATTACGGGCGTGAGCCACTGCGCCTGGCCAATTTATTCATTTTTTTGAAGGCAATATAATGCTGTGGTTAAGCATGCAGGCATGAAAGCCAAACACCCTGTATTTGAACTTAGTTTTTTCAGAATCTTGTCTCAGTTTCTCCCTCTGATGAAATGGGTATAATAACAGTACTTGTCTAGCTCGTAATAGTGCTATGAAGGTTAGAGGAGTCAATAGATGCAAAGCCAGTAGAATAGTAACTGATTTTTTTTTTAATTATACTTTCAGTTCTGGGATGCATGTGCAGAAAGTGCAGGTTTGTTACACGGTGGTTTGCTGCCACCCATCAACCATCATCTAGGTTTTAAGCCCCACATGCATTAGGTGTTTTTCCTAATGCTCTCCCTCCCCTGGTCCCCCACCCCATGACAGGTGCTGGTGTGTGATGTTCCCCTCCCTGTGTCCACGTGTTCTCATTGTTCAACTCCCTCTTATGAATGAGAACATGTAGTGTTCGGTTTTCTGTTCCTGTGTTACTTTGCTGAGAATGGTTTCCAGCTTCATCCATGTCCCTGCAAAGGACATAAACTCATCCTTTTTTATGTCTGCACAGTATTCTATGGTGTATATGTGCCATATCTTCTTTAACCAGTCTATCATTGATGGGCATTTCGGTTGGTTCCAGGTCTTGGCTATTGTGAACAGTGCTGCAATAAACATATGTGTGCATGTGTCTTTATAGTAGAATGATTTATAATCCTTTGGGTATATATTCAGTAATGGGATTGCTGGGTCAAATGGTATTCCTGGTTCTAGATCTTTTAGGAATCCCCACACTGTCTTCCACAATGGTTGAACTAATTTACACTCCCACCAACAGTGTAAAAGCATTCCTATTTCTCCACATTCTCTCCAACATCTGTTGTTTCCTGACTTTTTAATGATTGCCATTCTAACTGGCATGAGATGGTATCTCACTGTGGTTTTGATTTGCATTTCTCTAATGACCAGTGTTGATGAGCTTTTTTTCATATGTTTGTTGGCCGCATAAGTGTCTTCTTTTGAGAAGTGTCTGTTCACATACTTTGCCCACTTTTTGATAGGGTTGTTTGATTTTTTCTTGTAAATTTGTTTAAATTCCTTAAAGATTCTGGATTTCAGATCTTTGTCAGATTGATACATTTCAAAAAATTTTTCCCATTCTGTGGGTTGCCTGTACACCCTAATGATAGTTTATTTTGCTGTGCAGAAGCTCTTTAATTTAATTAGATCCCATTTGTCAATTTTGACATTTGTTGCAATTGCTTTTGGTGTTTTAGTCATGAAGTCTTTGCCCATGCCTATGTCCTGAATCGTATTGTCTAGGTTTTATTCTAGGGTTTTTATGGTTTTAGGTTTTACATTTAAGTCTTTAATCCATCTTGAGTTAATTTTTGTATAAGGCATAAGGAAGGGATCCAGTTTCAGTTTTCTGCATATGGCTAGCCATAACTGACTTATTATAATGCAATCAAGTTAGCCACTGGTATTACTTAAAATAACAATTCACAGCTCCCTTTTATTTGCTTTGATAACTAACATCCACCTGAGAATAAGTATAACAGCAGAGATAGGGCCGGGCGCGGTGGCTCACGTCTGTAATTGCAGCACTTTGGGAGGCCGAGGCAGGCGGATCACAAGGTCAGGAGATCGAGACCATCCTGGCTAACATGGTGAAACCCTGTCTCTACTAAAAATACAAAAAATTAGCCGGGCGTGATGGCGGGCGCCTGTAGTCCCAGCTACTCGGGAGGCTGACGCAGGAGAATGGTGTGAACCCGGGAGGCGGACCTTGCAGTGAGCCAAGATCACACCACTGCACTCTAGCCTGGGTGACAGAGCAAGACTCCGTCTCAAAAAAAAAAAAAAAAAAAAAAAGAGCAGAGATAATTCCCAAATGTTCCTTCCAAACACTCATTTTATCAGTGCGTTATAACTCAGACCAAGATAAGTGTGATGCTTATGTTCCAAGGTTGGTCCATAAAGGTCTTTCCTCACCTATTAGTTTGTTTAACTACAGAACTAATATTCTTAGCCTGCATTTTGAATCCTAGAATCATCAAACTATGCCATACACAAGAGGAAAAAAAAGAAGAAAGGAGCAATAAATTTCACTGTAGAGGAAACTGTAGTTTCTCTGAAAGATTTTATCACAATATAACTTCTAAACACTTCCTATACAAAAAGCAACCATTTGGAAACTAAACTGAATTGGCAGGGCGTGGTGGCTCACTCCTGTAATCCCAGCACTTTGGGAGGCGAAGATGGGGGGATCACAAGATCAGGAGTTCAAGATCAGCCTCGCCAACATGGTGAAACCCCATCTCTACTAAAAATACAAAAATTAGCCGGGCGTGGTGATGTGCACCTATAATCCTGGCTACTCAGGAGGCTGAGGCAGGAGAATTGCTTGAACCCGGGAGGCAGAAGTTGCAGTGAGCCGAGATTGTGCCACTCTACTCCAGCCTGGGCAACACAGTGAGACTTCATCTCAGAAAAAAAAAAGAAAGAAAGAAAAGAAAAATAGAAACTCATCTGAATAAATTAGTTTTATTTAGAAAACTAAGAACATTCTTAGTGTCACCCAAATAAAACTAATAAACAAGCTTTATTAGTTTTATAGGCTGGTGAAGTATCAAATAAAACTAACCTGTTTATTAGCTTTATTTGAGTGAAACTGAGAATGTTCGCTGAATCTATAAAGGTAATACTATTAGAACTCACCCTCCAAAATAATATAGATCATGTCTTATCACTTGTTTCCTTCAGTTATAATGTTTCCAACAGGTTTTCAATCCAACCCAATGAGGTTAGGCAAATATAAACAAAAATATCTTGCAAATGTTGAAACTCTGGGTGAATACTGGCACCTAAAACACATGGACAGAATGTCCCATCTACTACTAAAGCTCACCAATCTGTATGGCAACCTCAAAAATGGATGATCTTCCTTTTGTTAGCATACATCCTCCTTACATCCACTGTCTCATGAAAGAAACCTGAAGGTCCTTGAAATCTTCTTCAACCTAGACCATCAACCTTTCACCAATCCTTGTGAAATCAACCTTCAGAACATATTTTTCATCTGTCCATTTTTCCTCATCTTCCTAACCCAAACAACTATCTGTTAACCACATACAACCATCCTCTACACAGAAGTCAATGATCCTCTTTGAAAAAAATCGTAAATTTTCCCATTGCATTTATGATAAAGTTTAAAATACTAAAAATGACCTACATATTGTAGGTTAAGCTAATATTCTAATTTTCATAGGGCCTGTATCAATATGCAATTATACTTAGTTGCATGATTATTCATTTAATGAATAAATGGTAAAAACCAATAAAGACAGGAACAACTTTGCATATTCATCATTGTATACTTAGTACCTAACAGTTTCTGATCCATAATCAATTCCTAGTAAAGATTTGTTGAATATATTATTTTTAAAAAACACAATCCCTAAAACCTCTATTATACTCAGATTCTATCTACCAGAATCTGTCAGTAAATTATTTGCTCTATAAAGTTACCATTCGTAAAATAATTTTTCCTTTTGTTTTTCTTTCCTAAACTGGGATGCCCAAAGGGCTTATTTGCACACAAGTCTCATAGGAACAAGACACATGTCACACCAAGTCAGAACAACCAACCAATCATTCTGAGGCTTGTCTCTGACAATGACATTAAAGGCTATTTTGTAAAAAACTCATTCATTTTACCTATATCTCTCATGACTGGTCATATCCTTTACAATCCTTTCCATCCAGAAGAGTTCTTCATCTGTATGACTTTAGTTGTCACTACTGGAATATCTGAGTAGAGCAGAGAATCATGGGAATCTGCAGATACACATAATCTGCCTATTTAGAGTAAGCAATTTACCTCCCTGGAGATCATTCCAGAGAATGAGCTCACTCACATTCGAAAATGAATGCAAGAAAGTGGTTCAACTCAACATTTTGATTAAACTTCGATTATATGTAAACCTCAGAAGCTTGTGTATAATAACATGAGTAAATGTACTAAAATTCCTTCTATCTTTGGCCTTTAAAAAGAATATACCATTTTTCGAGAGGCTTTCCCAGAAGTAGATTAAAGCTCTACTCTAGGCTGGTGAAGTATCTAATATCTATCTGAAAGGCAATCAGTGGTTTTATTTTTAATGTGTTGAGTCATGTGAAGATTACAAACATGTATACACATCTGTGTAGTCTTTGCAAATAAAAAAATATTTTATTCTTAATTGACACTGAACCCTGGATTATTTTTTGTAATTACATGTTAACATGGGAAATTTGGGATATTTCCAAAACTATCTTATAAAACCCAAACTAATGAAAAGAAGAAATCTAACTCAGTTCCCCTATTTGATAGTTCAGCTACATACTGAAAACAGACAAATAGTTTTTAATATTTATATTTGGATAATACTTACCACTTTACATAAGTGTAATCAAGTTTGGTTTAACACGGTCCTTTCCTTAAACTTGCTGAATTCCTAGCTAAACACGTCTCTAAGAAAAATAAACATGAAGGAAGGAAGGAAAGATACTGGCTATTTTTAATAAAAACAATGAGTGTTTATTAAATTCTAATGTGCTCCATCACAAATCAGTTGTATAAAGTATTGATGTTACTTACAATAATACTCTTAAATGAGTGTTATTCAGATATTTCAGATGAGGAAGCTGGGTCTCAGGAATTTGATGCACTTTGCTCAAATTACATACCTAATCAATTGTAACACCCAGGTCTGACTGCTCCCAAAGCTCATGTACTATCAACTTCATTACAGTGGCTGTTTATTTAGCTCTACAGCAAATTCTTATTACAAATGTGACCCATAGACATAAAAAAAAGTATAGATGTAAAAACGGCCTAATATTGCAATAGCAAGTTAGTAGCAGAGATAGGACTAAAAACACCATCTTCTGAGTCCAGCCCAATATTCTTCCCACTGAAGTAAATTAGAGAGCATAACAATATCAATTTAATTAATAAAGATTACTTTGAGCCTCAAAATTTCCCCCAAAGTTGATTACATTTTTACAGGCAAAAAGCTGCATGCTAAAAACATGCCCTGTTTTATGGTGAGTTTGTATGTTTCCCACTTTTATGACTATGCATTCTCCTATCCCTCTTCCTCCTCTTCCTTCTCACAGACATTTGATCTCTAAGTGCATTCACAGTCAAAGCCTAACTTTCAGGATAAGTCCACATCTGTGTCAAATCTTCAAGCCAACCCTGTAAGTCTCTGCCTCAAGTCCCCTCAAACACTATTCTTCTATTTTAGTCTTCTTCCTTATTCTGAAGCTTCCTTTCTGCTCTGTTCCTCTCCCTGCTTTCATCTTGTTGTACTTCAGCACCTGTCTGTCTCTGTCCTTGAACCCTAAGTCACAATTGAGATCCCCACATCTATCAGACAATTACAAGCTGGTTTTTCAATTATCACTTGCCTCTGAGTCCCTGTCCCTGTCCTCTTCACCTGTTAGGACACAATCATCCATCTACGAACCTTCCCTTAATTCTCCACCCACTACCAACTGCCTAGATCACAAAGTGCTTTTGCCAGCCTACAAAAAACATAGCCTTTGCCCTCCTAAACGTCCTTTAGTCAAAACAGCTGCTGGTACCATTACTGCTGGTACTGCTTCTTCCCATTGTATCCTGCTTCTCCCTGGAGTAAGAATCTAGTTTCTAATTATTACCAGTGCCTGCCTTTTTCCCTGATCCTTTTATATGGAACCACTCATGCCTGGCTGAGAGTAACAGGAACAAATAGGCCTATTACTTGAGGAACATAATAAATATTTTCCTCCCAGAGGAGAGAATGGCAATCTTTCTTAAAC